>NT_187624.1:0-183433 GCF_000001405.40 Homo sapiens
GATAGCGGGGAGATAGCATCGGGGGGATAGTGTGGGGGATAGTGGGGGGATAGTGTGGGGGAGATGGTGTGGGGGGAGATGGTGTGGGGGGATAGCGTGGGGGAGATCGTCTAGGGGGATAGCGTGGGGGAGATGGTGTGGGGTGGATAGTGTGGGGGATAGTTGGGGGGAGCTGGGGGGATAGTGGGGGGATAGCATCGGGGGGATAGTGTGGGGGGGATAGTGTGGGGGATAGTGGGGGGATAGTGTGGGGGAGATGGTGTTGGGGGAGATGGTGTGGGGTGGATAGTCGGGGGGGAGCCGGGGGATAGCATTGGGGACAGCATGGGCACAGCATGGGGGGCAGCGTGGGGGTGGGCAAGGAACCCTTCACGTGGATTGTGGATTGGGCAGGTAGAAGATGGAGATGACTTAAGCAGAAAGGGAGGGTTTTCTGGGCAGAGGAAATGATGGACCTCAAATCTATCCAGAGAAGAGAGAACTGAAGGGGCTGGGGACAGCAGGTGGGATCTTGAAGGCCCGGTTGGGGGAACTCTGTTCTTCAGGCAGTGGGGGGTTATGGGTGGTGCTTTAGCAGGAAAATGACTGACAGCTGGAATGAGGTTTCTTATTGGTCCAGGATGTTTGCCTGGACCCGGAAAAAGGTGATTCTGAAGAAAGTGCCCAGGGATCTAAAGCAAGTGTTCCCTCCTTACAACCTCAAAGGGCCCCAACCGGAGGTGTTATGTAGGTAGAGGCGGGACAGGGTAGTGGGGGTGTTCAAGCTGCCACCATCCTAGCCCTGTCCTCTTAGTGTCCCTGAGAAAAGCTGTTCCCCTCTGGGCCTTGTTTTTCCCATCTGGAAAGTGAGCAAGGTGGACCATGCAGCCACGTGTATATGTATGTGTGTGTACATGTGTGTGCAGGTGATGCGTGGTCAGACGAGACAGTGGGAAGAACAGCTGTCCCTCCCCACTGCTGACTCCTAAGGGAGGCTCCTGGGGAGGTTGCCTCGTGATGTGCATGTCCCATTGTGGCTGGCGGGCGTGTCACGGCTGAGGAGTGCGGCAGCCTGGGGAAGTCCCTGGGCTTGAGCACCTTTCCTGATATGATCGCTTCTCTACTGTGTTTCTCCTCTGCATTGAGGCATTTAATCTCTCAGAGGCACTTCCTGGATTAGAGCAGACAGGGAAGGTCCTCTGCTGGCCAGAGTCCCCAGAGAGAGCAATGCTCAGGAGCTGCCGTGGCCACACTGGCCCGAGAGGCCGCATGCAGCATGTTTCCAGCCAGTGGGCTGGGGTGACCATCTTGGGAGTCAGGACACTCCGTTCTGAGCCCTGCTCTGCTTTTTACCAGCTCTAAGGCCTTAAAAAAACAACATAGATCCTCTTGGCCTCAGTTTCTTCCTCTATAGAGTGGGGATCAAAGTAGTATTTTTGCAAATCTTCAATGACATAAATTCCCCCTGAAGAGCTTGGCACAGGTATTTGCCATGATCATTGTCATTGTTGTTGTCTCTTCGTAATTGCGGCCTCTTTGTGCTTATTCATAATCCCTCTCTAACAGGCAGAATGGAGCCCCATATTTCCTCACGGCAGCTACACTGACACAGAATAGTGTCATCTTGGGTGCTGCTGCCACTGCCAATATCGCCGCCACCATCATCATCACAATCATCACCATCACCACCATCATCACCACTATCATCATCACCACTATCACCACCACCAGCACCTTCATTATCACATTCACCATCCTCACCATCCTCACCACCACCATCACCACCATCATCACCATCATCATCATGACCATCACCACCATCACCACTATCACCACCACCACCATCATTACCATCATCATCACGACCATCACCACCATCATCACCATCACCACTATCACCACCACCACCATCATTACCATCATCATCACGACCATCACCACCATCATCACCATCACCACTATCACCACCACCACCATCATCACCATCACCATCATCACAGTCATCACCATCATCACCATCATCATCATCACCACTACCATCACGCTCACAGTCATCACCATCACCACCATGATCACTGCCATCATCACCACCACCATCACCACCATAATCCCCCCCAACTATTACAACCATTAACTTATTTAACAAAAATTTATTAATCACCAACGATTTTCCCAGCCCTTTCCAGCACCATTTCAGGTGCTTGGATACACTCATACCTTATTAGCATCCCTCCTGTCCCCCCGTCACCATTTTCGGTCTCCATTGCTAGGCAGCAGTGTGGACTTGGAAGCCTTTTGATATGTTCTTACAGATTCTGGAGCCCTCAGAAACCTCTGGCAACTGTAGGGTCAGCATTTGAGTCTGTGAGGGGTCATGGAGGGGACTCAAAAGCAAGGGGAGCAGACTCTTTCCCTTAGGGCTCTAAACCTTTGCTCCTGTGCAGAATCCGGGGTGTGTTCTGGTAGCCTACATGCCCTGACTCCTCTAAAGTAGACCTGTGTTTAAGGCTTGGAATCCTTCTGTGTGTGTCAGAGTCACTTGAGGAGCTGGTTAAGACGTTTGACCCCAGGCCCTACCCCCTGAGACTGACTCATGAGTCTCAGGTTGGGTCCAGGAGCTATCACTTACCAAGCCCCCATGGGAACTCTGATGTTAAGGGACTCAGGGCCACTGTAGCTTGTGGTGGCCAAGAGGAGCCCCTTGCCCTTTGCTGCCTGGTCCAGCCAGCATGGCCAAGTGAAGCCTTTCTTCTCCCTCTACTCCGCAGGCACACCAAAATGAAGACAGCCACCAATATTTACATCTTTAACCTGGCCCTGGCCGACACTCTGGTCCTGCTGACGCTGCCCTTCCAGGGCACGGACATCCTCCTGGGCTTCTGGCCGTTTGGGAATGCGCTGTGCAAGACAGTCATTGCCATTGACTACTACAACATGTTCACCAGCACCTTCACCCTAACTGCCATGAGTGTGGATCGCTATGTAGCCATCTGCCACCCCATCCGTGCCCTCGACGTCCGCACGTCCAGCAAAGCCCAGGCTGTCAATGTGGCCATCTGGGCCCTGGCCTCTGTTGTCGGTGTTCCCGTTGCCATCATGGGCTCGGCACAGGTCGAGGATGAAGGTCAGTGGGGTGTCCCCTCCTCCCCTCACCAGGCTCCCTGGCTCCCGGGTGGCTCCTCTGGGCCCACGTGCCCTCCACGTCTCCTGGGCCCACTCTGACCCCGTTTCTCTCCCTGCAGAGATCGAGTGCCTGGTGGAGATCCCTACCCCTCAGGATTACTGGGGCCCGGTGTTTGCCATCTGCATCTTCCTCTTCTCCTTCATCGTCCCCGTGCTCGTCATCTCTGTCTGCTACAGCCTCATGATCCGGCGGCTCCGTGGAGTCCGCCTGCTCTCGGGCTCCCGAGAGAAGGACCGGAACCTGCGGCGCATCACTCGGCTGGTGCTGGTGGTAGTGGCTGTGTTCGTGGGCTGCTGGACGCCTGTCCAGGTCTTCGTGCTGGCCCAAGGGCTGGGGGTTCAGCCGAGCAGCGAGACTGCCGTGGCCATTCTGCGCTTCTGCACGGCCCTGGGCTACGTCAACAGCTGCCTCAACCCCATCCTCTACGCCTTCCTGGATGAGAACTTCAAGGCCTGCTTCCGCAAGTTCTGCTGTGCATCTGCCCTGCGCCGGGACGTGCAGGTGTCTGACCGCGTGCGCAGCATTGCCAAGGACGTGGCCCTGGCCTGCAAGACCTCTGAGACGGTACCGCGGCCCGCATGACTAGGCGTGGACCTGCCCATGGTGCCTGTCAGCCCGCAGAGCCCATCTACGCCCAACACAGAGCTCACACAGGTCACTGCTCTCTAGGCGGACACACCCTGGGCCCTGAGCATCCAGAGCCTGGGATGGGCTTTTCCCTGTGGGCCAGGGATGCTCGGTCCCAGAGGAGGACCTAGTGACATCATGGGACAGGTCAAAGCATTAGGGCCACCTCCATGGCCCCAGACAGACTAAAGCTGCCCTCCTGGTGCAGGGCCGAGGGGACACAAGGACCTACCTGGAAGCAGCTGACATGCTGGTGGACGGCCGTGACTGGAGCCCGTGCCCCTCCCTCCCCGTGCTTCATGTGACTCTTGGCCTCTCTGCTGCTGCGTTGGCAGAACCCTGGGTGGGCAGGCACCCGGAGGAGGAGCAGCAGCTGTGTCATCCTGTGCCCCCCATGTGCTGTGTGCTGTTTGCATGGCAGGGCTCCAGCTGCCTTCAGCCCTGTGACGTCTCCTCAGGGCAGCTGGACAGGCTTGGCACTGCCCGGGAAGTGCAGCAGGCAGCTTTTCTTTGGGGTGGGACTTGCCCTGAGCTTGGAGCTGCCACCTGGAGGACTTGCCTGTTCCGACTCCACCTGTGCAGCCGGGGCCACCCCAGGAGAAAGTGTCCAGGTGGGGGCTGGCAGTCCCTGGCTGCAGACCCCGAGCTGGCCCTGGGCCAGCCGCACCTCTGAAGGTTTTCTGTGTGCTGCACGGTGCAGGCCTCATCCCTGACTGCAGCTTGACTCTGGGCCCAACCCCCATTTCCCTTCAGGAGACCAGCGAGAGGCCCTGGCCCATTCCCTCCAGCGGTGCAATGAACTATCATGCTGTGGACCGTCAACCCAGCCCTGCTTCTCAGTGTGGGGCAGGTGTCTCAGGACGAAGGCGCCGCGTGACCACATGGGCAGCTCTGTTCACAAAGTGGAGGCCTCGTTTTCCTGGTCTTGACTGCTCTGTTTGGGTGGGAGAAGATTCTCTGGGGGTCCCCACATCCTCCCAAGGCTCCCCTCACAGCCTCTCCTTTGCTTGAAGCCAGAGGTCAGTGGCCGTGCTGTGTTGCGGGGGAAGCTGTGTGGAAGGAGAAGCTGGTGGCCACAGCAGAGTCCTGCTCTGGGGACGCCTGCTTCATTTACAAGCCTCAAGATGGCTCTGTGTAGGGCCTGAGCTTGCTGCCCAACGGGAGGATGGCTTCACAGCAGAGCCAGCATGAGGGGTGGGGCCTGGCAGGGCTTGCTTGAGCCAAACTGCAAAGGCTGTGGTGGCTGTGAGGACACTGCGGGGGTTGGGGGGGGGGCGTCTGTACCTCAGGGGATGCCCCGCTGTGGTCACCCAGAGAATCACCCTTCCTGGTCTACAGATGGAAGCTGCAGGTTGGTGACTTTGCAAATGCACTTCCTACAGATGAACTATTAAAAGACCTGCAACATTGAAAAAACTCATTTTTTCCACCAAAACCTTGGCCAGGTAACCTACCTTAGGCACCTGCAAAGAACAGGAAGTGATGGCTGTCTCGCAACAGAGCCTGGGCTGCTCCTCCTGCTCTGGGGAGTCTAGGCCGTGGGGACTGTTCTGGGGAGGCTCATGCTGTCTCCATGACGTCTGTGGCAGGAGTCCCTGAGGACGGGAGCTGCCTAGCTACAGTTTTCTTGCCAAGGCGAGGTGTTTTGTGAATCTGTGCTGATGTAATGTGCACCTTCACGTATTTATGCATGTGGCAAGCGTTACTTCCTGTGCACGTAGCCAGCCCTGGGTCTGTCTCTGGGGTAATGAAAAAGGACCCTAATAAACACCTGCTCACTGGCTGGGTATTCTTTGTAACCAGTGTTTCTGGCTCCTGCCACCTGGGGATTTGCTTCTGGAGTGACTTTTCTGGGATTGGCACGTGGGTGGGAGGAGGCTATGGGTTTAGGCTGAATTCTTGTACCTGTCCTGTGCTGCTCAACAGGCTGGGCTCTGCCCTCAGTGAAACGTCCCCCAGGAGGCTGCAACCCTGGGGAGAGTTGAAGCCAGTTAATGGTGTGTTGGCCGGGCTGTTACCTTTTCTTCAGCACACACGGTTTCTCTCTAAACAACCGATGGCTGCACCTCTCCCCTGCCCCCTGGAAAGAGAGGTTTCCTGAGGATACAGTGGGAGGGTGCTGCTCCCACCCAGGTTGCAGGGTTTTCTTACCCCCATTTCATCTCAGAAGAACCCCTGCTCCTGCTCATTTCCCCTTCCTTGAGCAGATCTGAGGGGAGTTTTGGTGAAGGATGAGCAGACGGCCTCCTCTAGGGCTGGGTACACTCTTGCCATGGACATCTGCCTCCTGGTTCCTGTTTGGCCCAGTTCAGCCCAGGCCGACCTGCAAAACAGAGCAGCTTTGGAGGGTGGGCACGGGCACACTCCAGTCCAAGTACTCGTCTCCAGGGCATGGGCAGATGGGCAAGTTCTGTAGGATTTTCTGTAGGTTTGAATGACAGACACTGTCTTATCCTGGACTGCTATAGCAAAGTACCATAGACTCAGTGGCAATAGAGACATCAGATGTTTATTTCTCATGGTTCTGGAGGCTGGAGATCTGAGATCAGGTGCAGGCACGGTCAGGTTCCGGGGAAGACCCGCTCCCAGGCTGCAGAGGGCCATCTTCTCACTATGTCATGACATGGGTTTGACAGCTGGAGAGCGTGCCTTTCCTAAAGGCACTCATCCCATTCAGGAGGGCTCTGCCGTCATGACCTGTCATCTCCCAAAGGCCCCCCTCTCCTGATACCATCAGCTTGGGGGGCTGAGATTTCAAAATGCAAATTTTGGAGGAACACAAATAGTTCATAACAAACACATTGCCATCAAAGCAAAAATATAGCATCAAGGGACAATTTGGGAGGGAGAGGCTGCACCGGGGCAGTTACTGTGCCCTTGGGCCCGGGAGATGGTATGGTCTTGGTAGAGGAGGCTCACACATGGTGCGGACTGTCCTGTCTTCGGGTGGGTGTGGATCCAGGGCTAAGCCCACAGCTAGTGTCTTCCAGAAGGAGCTGGCCAGACAGGGGCCAAGGGCCGTAGGAGGAGTTGGGGGGCGTTGGAAGCTGACTAGCTCCCTTGCCCTCCAGGACTGGGTTCCACCCCGGCCCACTCCACCCCTCCTCTGACCGCACCCTGGGTCTCCTCTCCAGCCCCCGGCTCCCCCAGCCCACCTCTGCTGTCGGGCTTGGTCAAGTCGCCTGGCTTTTCTGAGCCTCGGTTTCCTTCCGTGTGCAAAGGGGACCGCAGAACCCTCTTTGTGGGGTTGTGGGGGAAGGCTGGGGCGCCCGGGAGGGTCCCGGGTCGCGTCCGACCTCAGGAAGGCGGGGCTTCAGCAGCGGCCTCGGACCCTCCCTCCAGGGGGCGCTGTGGGCTCACGCGGGCCCAGCCTTGGGCCCCGGGGCGCTGCGGCGGGAACCGCGGTGACTAGCGGGGTCTTAAAGCGGGTGGCGGGGCCGGGCTCTCCTGGGACCAGGAGCCCAGAGCGTGGAGACGTGGCGGGCTGAGCCGCTCAGTGCGGCCCCTGCCCCGCGCCCACCCCGCCCCGTGTCAGGAGGTCCGCGGAGCGGGAGGACCCGCCTCCCGGGGAGAGCTCGCCCGCCCCTCCCTCCCGGCTGGCCGCGGGGCGGTCTGCAGACCCTTTGGCCGTGCCGGATCTGCCTGGTCCCCGGGGAGAAGACGCTGAGGATCCCATTGCTGGTCTGTGGATGGGGACAGGAGACGCCCGAGGTAAGAAGGGGTCCGGGTTCTTTGGAGGAATCCTGGTTGGCGCCTTCTCTGCAGCAGAGACGCCCGGCTGGGGCCGGAGGGCAAACTGGGGGCAGGGTGGGAGACCTCGGCCCTGAGGGCTGTAGGGGCTCTTGCCTGGGCGCTCCTTAAGCTCCCCCGCCCCCTCCGCCCCCCACCCCGCGGTGCTCACTCTCAGTCCTGCCTTGCGCACATTCCCACGCCCGGGCCTCTCCTGCCCGCCCCTCGTTGTTCACTTGCTCATTACGCCTCACACCTGGCTCTGCCGCGGGCTTGGAGCGGGTGTCTGGGAAACACAGTCTCACTTGTCTCCTCAAGGGGCTCCGGGGCACCGTAACAGCGTGCAGAGCGCAGTCAGGCTGCCGTGCTGCTGCTTTGCGAGGTGTGACTGCAGCGCAGCCAGGAAACAAATCCAGGGACAGCTTGTTCTTCCTGCGGTGTCGGTGTTGGTGGTGGCTTAAAAATTGCCCACAGACTGGGCTCATGCCTGTAATCCCAGCACTTTGGGAGGCTGAGGCAGGAGGATCACTTGAGCCCAGGAGTTTGAGACCAGCCTGGGCAACATAGTGAGACCCCGTCTTTCAAAAAAAAGAAAAATTTGCCTGGCGTGGTGGCGCACGCATGTAGTCCCAGCTACTCCAGAGCCTGATGTGGGGGGATTGCTTGAGCTCAGGAAGTCGAAGCTGCAGTGAGCCGTGACCCCACCACAGCACTCCAGCCTGGGCAGCAGAGTGAGATCCCTTCTCAATTAAAAAAAAAAAAATTGAAGCAAAAGAAAAATAAACCGTCTACAGCCCCCGAGTGTGGGCTGGACATGTGACTTGCTTCCAATGCACAGAATGTAGTAGAAGGGAAGGCAAGTGGCTTCGGAATCTTGGCCTCAAATGTATTGAGGCTTCCTCTTGGCTCCCCCCTGGGTCGCTGGCTCCTCCCTGGGTCGCTGGCTCCTCCCTGGGTCGCTGGCTCTGGGGGACCCAGTGCCATGTTTCGAGGACACTCAGCCCCTGAAGCATCCATGTGTTGAGGAGCAGAGGCCTCCTGCCCATAGCCATGGAAGGAAGACTTCTCAGAAGAAGATACCCCAGCCCCTGCCCAGCCTTCAGAGGGTCAGGGCCTGGGCCAAGGTCCTGACTGCAACCTCAGGAGAGACCCTGAGCCAGAACCACCCAAAAAGCCACTTTAATTCTTGAACCACAGAAGTGAAATAGTAGAAGTTGTCTTAAGCGGCTAAGTTTTGGAGAAATTTGTTATTCAGCAACAGATATCTAATACAATGTTGTCAGGGAGGATAAGTGGATGGAGATGGCCGTGGCGTGTTTGGCTGGCTAGCACGGAGGAGGGGCACTGCTGCAGGCCTGAGCCGAGTGGGCTGGAACGCTGGAGTATTTGGTGGATGGGTGGAGGTGGGCATACACCCTGGGACACCTCGTGGGGCGGTGAATGGTGGGTCCTGTGTGCCGGCTGGACAGATTGATCAGAGCTCTGGGTCATGAGGACTGAAACCAACCCAGAACACTCACACCTCACTGCCAGGCTGGAATGCCAGGCATGGAACCAGCTGAGAGCCATGGGGCCAAGAGTCGGGGCCTGGCCACAGCACACCTGGGACCAACCCCTGGCCCCTCCCACCTGACAGTCAGCGGTCTCTGAACTGCCTGCATTTCATTACCACCCCTCACCCTGCCCCCACCAGAGTTTCAGCATGCAGCTCCTGCTGGCTGATTACAAGCCCCTGGCCACACCCCGGGAGAGAGAGTTCCAGGTGCCAGCCTGTCCAAGTGATGGATGGTCCCTAGGCTGTGGTGGCCCAGAGGTCCTGGCAAAAGGGCCCTGTAGCCTCTAGTAAAGTATGAGAGGAGCATCGGCCACAGCAGGGGTGTACAGGCCATGGCGAGGACCGTCGGCCACAGCAGGGGGGTACAGGGGAGCACAGGCCATGGAGAGGACCGTCAGACACAGCAGGGGGGCACAGGGGAGCACAGGCCATGGTGAGGACTGTCGGCCACAGCAGGGGAGCACAGGCCATGGAGAGGACCGTCGGCCACAGCAGGGGAGTATAGGGGAGCACAGGCCATGGAGAGGACCGTCAGACACAGCAGGGGGGTACAGGGGAGCACAGGCCATGGAGAGGACCGTCGGCCACAGCAGGGGAGTATAGGGGAGCACAGGCCATGGTGAGGACTGTCGGCCACAGCAGGGGGGCACAGGGGAGCACAGGCCATGGTGAGGACTGTCGGCCACAGCAGGGGGGTACAGGGGAGCACAGGCCATGGAGAGGACCGTCGGACACAGCAGGGGGGCACAGGGGAGCACAGGCCATGGAGAGGACTGTCGGACACAGCAGGGCGGGTACAGGCCATGGCAAGGACCGTCGGCCACAGCAGGGGGAACACAGCAGCACAGGCCATGGCACATGGGCACGGCGGGGCTGGGCCTCCTGCTGGAACTCCACTTGGGCTTCAGGCCACGAGAGTGGATTTCTGGGTCTCATGCGGTGCAGGTGTCCGCCTTTGCAGCAACACAGCATCGCTGCTGCCTGAGGTGCCCGCACTTACCACCCCCCGGCCCCATCTTGGGGAGAGACTATGTAACGTGGCCCAGGTCAAGATCACAGTTCAGGTTCCCTCCCCTCCCGACCACTGTCATTAGGGATCCTGAGTCCCAGAGCCTTCCAAGGGGCTTGTCCATCTGTCTGTCTCTCGTGGGTAAGTGGGCCCGGGATGCTTGCTGTGTGGGGGCCTCTGCCAGGACCTGGATCCCTGCTGCTGTCCACCCAGGGGCTGTCCAGGAAGCAGAGACATGGGAGGTATATGCCCACGGCTGTCTGTAGGTCTGGTGGCCAGCGTGTGAGGGTCTGTGTCTCCTTGCGTGGAGAGGACAGCACTGGGATGTGAACAGGCCGGGCGTCCCCTGAAAGAGACAGCCGGAACTGGGTGGGGGTGGGCGTGATGATGGGGGTGATGGTGGGGGTGGTGGGGGGGGTGGGCGTGATGATGGGGGTGGGGGTGGGGGTGGGGGTGATGGTGGGCGTGATGGTGGGGGTGGGGGTGATGGGGGTGGGCGTGATGGTGGATGTGATGGGGGTGGGCATGATGATGGGCGTGATGATGGGGGTGGTGGTGGGGGTGATGGTGGGGGTGGTGGTGGGGGTGGGGGGGGGTGGGCCTGATGGGGGTGTGGGCATGATGATGATGGGCGTGATGATGATGGGGGGTGATGATGGGCATGATGATGGGGGTGATGGTGCCCAGGCCCTTCAGCACCGCAATATGCTGCGGAAGTTCTTCCGGAAGTTGTCATCTAGAAAGGCGTAGAGGAAGGGGTTCAGGCACGAGTTGGCGTAGCTGAGGCTGGTGATGACGTAGGACATACTGATGACCAGTGGGGTCTGGGGCAGGTCCGTGGTCAGGGCCACGACAGAGGCCAGGTGGAAGGGCGTCCAGCAGAGGAGGCACACGGCCAGCACGACGAGGACCAGGACGGTCACCTTCCGCCTGGCCTTGCCTAGAGCCTTGGCTCCAGAGCGGAGCCGCACGGCCCGCAGCCTGCGCAGGAGGTCTGTGTAGAGCACACAGATGGTGCACACGGGCAGCACGAAGCCCAGGACCAACGTGTAGACACGGCTGGCCTTGAACCAGACCTGCTCGGGCCACGGGAAGCTCAGCCCACAGCTTGGGACCTGCAGCTCGTTGCTGTAGACGCCAGCGAAAGAGAAGAAGGGCAGAACCAGGACCGTGACGCCCAGCCAGACACACAGGCTGGCGACCTTCGCCCCCCGGTAGGTGCGCCAGGGCATGTGGCGGGACCTCACGGTGGCCAGCACCACCAGGTATCGGTCCACGCTCATCACGGCTAGGAAGTAGATGCTGGAGAAGATGTTGTAGTGGTCGACGGCCAGCACCAGCTTGCAGAGCAGCTCCCCGAAGGGCCAGTACTGCAGCAGGTGCTCCGCGATGTTGACGGGCAGTACCAGCGTGAAGAGCCCGTCGGCGACGGCCAGGTTCAGGATGAACACGTTGGTCACCGTCTTCATCTTGGGCGCCCTTAGGATTACAAGGATGACGGCCGTGTTGCCAGTCAGCCCCACAGCACAGATCCCGGAGTACACGGCGGGCAGGAGCACATAGAGGAACGGCAGTGGCTCGGAGAAGGTGGCATTGTGGCCAGTGCCATTGTCCTGAGAGACGTTGGCACCCATCGTGGGGAGGGAGAAGGAGCCCCTGCTGTCAAGGGGCTCTGGGTGCCCAGCGGCCTGCATTGTAGCTGGGACCGTTGACGATTTGCGCCCTGGGCAGGTGGGAGGTGCCTTGGAGTTGGGTATCTGGTTGGGGGCCTCCTTGGGCTGGATTCTAGGAAAGAAAAACAACCAGAGACTTTGAGATCCGGCCGTCTGTTAGGGCACAGCCACTCCAGGTTCTCTGGCAGAGACTGCGGCCACTTTGCCAGGTCAAGGACATGGGGCCAGAGGGAGCCTGGTGGGGTGTGTGGGGGCCTCCTCCCGCCTCTTCCTGGTGAGACTTCAGCAGATCAGTTCCCTCCTCCCGCAGAGAGCAGCTGCTGGCCACCCTCCTGGGAAGAGATGTGGATCCGTCCCTGCCCCAGCAACCCGCAGATGCACGGGCTGCGTAGAATCAAGCGGTCCCTTTGGAAACACACCTCCCAAGCTCATCTCTGGCTCCCTTGAATCTGAAGGTCCTTCCCTCAGGGGTCTTGGAGTCTGCACCCTCCCTCACACCCTCCCGAGAGATGCTGCAGACCCTGCTGGTCCAGCTACTCTTCTCTCCACTGACCTGTCCAGTGCTTCGAGTCCAGAAGTTGGTAGCCTTGGTGTGTTCCTGGTTTTGGCCAGTACAGGCAGTCGCAGGGATGGAGGGCGAGGTGTGGTCCTCACTGACAGACCTCCAGCTGAGGTTTCAGGAGTTTCAAGACCTGCCCTGCTGGCTGCCTCAGCCCCGGCTGCGAGGTTCCCAGCCTGGTGTCAGTGCTGATGCTGGTGAGGGAGGGAGGCGGATCCCCCTTGCTGACGTGGAGCCCGGAAGGCAGGCCCCACCTTCCCCTGAGCTGCAGTAGCGCCTGCAGTCGGCTGTCCCAGGGTCTCCTCAGCATTCACTTACCCAGGCAGACTCCTCAGTGGGCGGCTGAGGCACGTGTGCGCCTGTGTGTCAGGAAGGGACTCCATGCAGGGGCCTCTGGGTGTGCCCAGGTCTTCGGGCAGAGGGCACTGAAGGCATCTGTGCCTCTGTCCGGGAGTCACTGTGGGCCTGGGCACCCTTATCTGTGAACATGGGTGTCTTGGTGGGTCTCCTGCCCCACCCTGTGTGTGTACATGGTGTGTTCCTGTGTGTGTGTGCCAGTTAGGACATGTACGTGTGTGGGCCTGTGTCTGCCTGTATGGGGGTCTCTGTGGGTGAGCTCTGCGTTGTATCTGAGTGGGTCTACATGTCCTTGGCTGAGTGTGGGCATCTGGGGGGTCTGTATGCCCTCATGTGGAAGCAGAACTTGTTGGCCATAGGCAACCCACCTTCTTTTTTTGTCTTTTGCTAAAAGAGGAACTCAGCCTAGGCAAGCTGTGAAAGGCTGCAGAGAAGACGTTCTCACGCTGACACGTAACTCTCCCGCCGTCCTGCAGAGGTGGTGAGCATCACACTCTGCTCTGGGTTGGTCTTTAAGTCCTTCCCTTCTCCCTGCTTTTCTTCCTTGCTGGACGCACCCTGGCTTATCCAACCCGTGTGTGTGCAGCTCGGCCGCATCTGGACCTGCTTTGCAGGCAACGCCACAGCTGACACGAGCAGTCGCCAGTCTCAGAGCCGCTCCTCAGCGGAGACGTGTTGGGTCAGAGGGTCTGTGTTTTCTTTCCTTTCTTCTTTTTTGAGACAGGGTCTTGCCCTGTCACCCAGGCTGGGGTGCAGTGGCACTATCATGGCTCACTGCAGCCCTGACCTCCCTGGGCTCAGGTGATCCTCCCACCTCAGCCTCTCAAGTAGCTGGGACTACAGGCATGTGCCACCATGCCTGGCTAATTTTTGTGTTTTTTTTTGTAGAGACGGGGTTTCACCATGTTGCCCAGGCTGGTCTCGATCTCCTGAGCTTCAGCCTCTACCTCAGCCTCCCAAAGTGCTCAGGTTATAGCCATGACCCACCGTGCCTGGTCACTGTGTGTTTTCAGTCTGGGGAGATGTGTCTGCCCATCGAGACTGTGCCCGCTGCCTGTGGGGTTGCAAGGATGTCACCGCACACTCATGGTCGGCCTTCTTTCCTGAGAGTTGCTCTGTCAAGTCTATTGGTTAGGACAGGAGCCTGGGCAGTCGCCCTGAGTACCCTGATGTCGCCAGCCTGAGGGTACACTGTGGGTGGGCCCCGAGCTACCCTTCTATGGGCTGTGCCATGTGGATGTTGAGTCCGGGGTCAGGGAACCCTGCTGAGATATCTCACACTCCTCTTCAGCCAGTTTGGGGATGGCGGTGGGGGGGATCTGTGGGTGTGTCTCGAGGGAGCGTGGGGCTTGTAGCCACAGTTTGTCACATAAGTGGAGCTTGACGCCCACAAGGTCAGGGGATGGTGATTAGCAGCCGTGAGGAGAGGGTGCATTGGGGCTGAATTTTGTGATTTGGGGTGTTCGTGGGGTCGGGAGGGGTCAGTTCACAGCTCCTGGAAACCAGAGGCGTGACACAGAGAGGCCAGGCCTGGCATGTGGTGGCCCAGGCATTGACCAGGGTGTGGGCTGGGCCAGGCGGTCACTGGTCTTGGCTGGGGAGCGGCCGACCATGGCCTCAGCACCGGGCACTGGGAGAATGTCCCAGGCCTGCTGTCACCGAGCTGCTGTCCTGGGGTGGGGCTGGCCACGCTGGCCTGATTCTGGGCCTCCCTGGGGGCCTGCTGTCACCGAGCTGCTGTCCTGGGGTGGGGCTGGCCACACTGCCTGACTCTGGGCCTCCCTGGGGGCATTGCTGGGGGCCTCTCCCTTCCATGCATTTTGGGAGGGGCCCAGGCTAGTGCCGGTGCCTTCCTCTGCCCCCCAGGGCTGGCTGGCAGCCTGCCCAGTGACCCCCGTGTGGCCTGAGCTCTGGGCACCCCTGCTGGTCTTTGCCCTGCAGGATACCGACTGCCACCCACACCTTCTTCAGAGCAGGGTGTTCCAGGAGGGTCTTCCCTTAAGCCTCAGTAGTGGGGAGCCCAGTGTCAGAGGCATCCCTCAGAGCACAGAATCTTCCCATGCAAAGATCCCACTGTGTGTCTGGCTTCCTCTGAAGCCAACCACGAGTCTGGGTCCTCTTCCCTCCACCGGTATCTGGTGAGTCTGGGAATCGGAGCCCCTCCCAGACTCTAGCTCTGCTCTCCTGAGCCTGTCCTGAAGGCTGGTCTGGCACCACCGCCCGCCGGTCACATTGGAGGTGGGGTGCGCATGATGGAAGGGATGGGGACCCTGAGGGCAGTGGGGATGGGGGAGACTGCCAGGTGCTGAGCTCAGGACCCCGGGGAGGCCGGCTGGAGGTGTCAGGTCCTCCTGGCCACAAAAGCAGCAGCCCCAGGGGCCTTTTCCTCCTCCCAGAAGCACCTCACCGATGCCCGCTGCAACACCAGGGCCTGAGCCGGGGGTGCTCCCCCGTCTGTACCCCCAGCACTCAGGGCTCAGAAAGGCCCTTTGCTCTGTTCGTGGGCTGGGCATTGTTCCAGCCAGCTGTGAGCTTGTGAGAGCATCGTTCTGTGGAAATGGTTTCCATTTTCAGAAATAAATTGGCCTTTTCAAATGAACCTGTGAGGCCCTTTGGGTGAAGAGAGGAGAGGCCAGGGAGGGAGGGAGCCGTGGTCAGCTCTGTTGGGCAGAACGGTGGTGGGGGCCTGACAGCAAGGCCACTGACATGGCACATCCTCTGTCTGGGGTGTGGGGTGAGGGAGTGATGGGTGCCAGTCAGTGTGCATCTGAGCATTTTGTGGGGCTGCGTGTGGGGGTCTTGCAGGGACCTGAAGGAGACCCCTAGGGCAGGGGCCAGGGAGAAGCGCCAGGACCCTGGGACAGCCTGAGCAACACACAACATAGCTGTGCTGGCTTCACGCTTGTTGCCGCTTCACATAGGTGTGGCAGCTGCCCTCCACCTGTCCCCCTGTGTGCAGGGACACCTGTCCCTCAGTCCGTGCTGCGACTTGGATCTTCACACGGGCATGCATATGTGTAGCAGGCATACAGACCCAGAGATTCATACAGACTCCAGTGTGCTTGTTGACCATCTCATCTCCAGCCAGGCAGGCCCTGGTAGGAGGGGTGGATTCTGCCCTGTGGCCAGAGTCCAGGCCTGTCTGCCCTGCTCTCTCTCCTCCATCAGCTCTCCAAGATGAGCCTCAACTGTAGCTGTGGCCCTGCAGGTTAAGTCCTCCCAAGAGGCCTAGGCCATTAAGACCAGTGAGAGGGCCGGGGGCGGTGGCTCATACCTGTAGTCCCAGCACTTTGGGAGACCAAGGTGGGCAGATTGCTTGAGCCCAGGAGTTCGAGACCAGTCAAGGCAACATGGTGAAACCTCATCTCTACAAAAAAAATACAAAAGGCCGGGTGCGGTGGCTCACGCCTGTAATCCCAGGACTTTGGGAGGCCGACGTGGGCAGATCACCTGAGGTCAGGAGTTCAAGACCAGCCTGGCCAACATGGCGAAACCCCGTCTGTACTAAAAATACAAAAATTAGCCGGGCGTCATGGTGGGTGCCTGTAATCCCAGCTACTCGGGAGGCTGAGGCAGGAAAATTTCTTGGACCTGGGAGGCGGAGGTTGCATTGAGCCGAGATCATGCCACTGCACTGCAGCCTGGGGGACAGAGCGAGACTCTGTCTCAAAAAAAACAGAAAAACAAACATTAGCTGGGTATGGTGGTGCATGCCTATAGTCCCAGCTGCTTGAAAGGCTGAGGTGGGAGAATCGCTTGAGCCCAGGAGGTCAAGACTGCAGTGAGCCGAGATCGTGCCACTGCACTCCAGCCTGGGTGACGGAGTGGGGCCCTGTCACAAGGAAAAAAAAAAGACCAGCGAGAGTTCCAGGCCTGGTGTTCTCTAAGCAGGTAATTGGGCAGCTTAGCTCTCTCGAAAGAGATAAGTAATTCAGGGCCAGTTTCCCTCAGAGTGGGAGGTGAATTCTCCAGGGAAGCTGGGAGAAAACACACTTTATTTATAAAACTGGGAAGGGGCCATTTCTCATTTAAATTCAGGATTCCCCACCATACCTCGGGGCACCCGCTGCCTCTCTCTTTCCCCGTCCAGTCAGCAATGAACTGTCCCCAGGGGAGGTCATGTTAGACAGGACCATAGACACCGGGCACCTTAGCTCAGGGCAGGTGAGAGGGGCCAGGGTAGCCAGACTGGGTCCTCAGCCACCTCCCAAATACCCGAACTTAGGCCCTGAGTCATTCATCTGCTGCACAAACACTTGCCCAGGAGGACTGCGGTGAGCACAGGGAACAATTCCTGCTCTCGTGGGGCTGGCCCTTTGGTGGGGGAAGCAGATGGTAGATGAAATAGTGCAGTGCACTGTGGAGCAGGAGGAAGGGGAGCTCTGGGGGCAGCAGGAGGCCACTGGGCCTTGCAGAGAAGGCAACGCTTGTGCTGAAACCCGGAGTGGGTCGGGGAGGCTGGGCGAGTGGGGGCAAGGCCCCTGGGGGAAAGAGGGCCCTTGGGACCAGGTCCTAAAGCCAGAGGTTCTGGAGGTGACAGCTGGGGGAGCAGAGGCCTGAGCAGGTTGGGGAAGTGGCTGTTGCAGGGAAGCCGGAGGTCACGGTGGCGTGTAGGTCTGCCTGCCTGTGGGCAGCCCCCACCCTGACCAAGGCCTTCTGCAAGTAGGGGTTTACAGGGCTACTGGGGCTGGGGCACCGAGGCCTCCCTCTCATCTCTGAACCTCATCTGCTAAAGCTGTGCCTGCCCTACCCACATGCCTCCTGCCGCCCCAGGCGCGTGTAGGCGGCAGGCTCAGGGAGCCTGGTGCAAAGATCCCATCGTGACTGAAGCACGCAGACAGGAAGGAGGGCGACTGTTCCCTAGGGCCCAGGCCTGTCTCCTCTTGGGGCTGGGAGGGTTGCTTAAATCAATTATCAAAGCGCTTGCAGCCTCCTGCTCACTCACAAAGACCCGAATCCAAGCACAGGACAGCAGGCCCCCAGGACAGTCTTCCCCAGTGGTGACTGCTCCCTGTTCTCCTTGCCTTGTCCAGTCCCAGGCCCTAATAACCAGGCATAGGCCCTGGAATGGGCCCGCCCTGAGTTTGGAAGCTTCCAGGTGCTCTCTGGAGGCACAATCCCAGAGGGCTTCACTGAGGAGGTGTCACTGTGCCTGGCCTCAGGGCCGTGTCCCTGGGTGATCTCAGTGTGTCTGGAGATGTAGGAGAGGGCTGGAGGGGGTCTCACTCTGTCCTCAGGGCTGGGAGCAGCTGTGGCCACTCGGAGATCGTGGGCAGAGTGGGCAGGCAGGTGCAGGCGCCTTTGAGTCTCCAGGGGAGGGGGTTATTCAGGTGTGTCAGTGCGTGTGGACACACATGTGGCTGGGCGGGAGTGTGTGTATGTCCTGTGACATCCTTCACCGGTGCCTGCAGTGGCAGAGCGCCCTGAGCCCCCATAGAGGGCCCAGGAGTGTCCGAGACCTGACGTGGACTATGTCTGGCTTTCTCGTCAGGCCGTGAATTCTTGCTGAAGGATCCTCAGATGGGAAAGGCTGATGCATGCCCAGATCTGGAGGCTTTTGACTCGCCTGTTGGCTCCTGGCCTGGAGACAACCCTGTAGGCCGGCAGTCCGTGTCCCTCCACAGGAGGACCGTGCCTACGTGGCTGGTTTCTGGGCCTGGGGAGTATGGGCTGCAGCTCTGGGATGCTCCAGGGGCTAGATTTGTTGACCTTGGACCGGGCTCTCCGTCGTGGGCAGATGAGGAGGGGTGGGAAGGTTGGAGGAGAAAGGCTGGGTGAGGCAGCCCCCACCACCCTTTCTGGATCTCTCACCTTGGGGACATCCAGACAGGAGAGAACAGATCCAGGCTGGCAGCTGGTAGGGTCGGAATGATGGGCCCTGTTGGAGGTGAGGGAGCTTCTGACCTTGCCCATTCTCTTCCCCTTCTAACCTGCCTGGCACAAACCCCGACCTCAAAGGATGGATAGTGGCCTGAGCCTGTGGCAGAAGCTTCAGCTACCCCCGGGGACTGGCTGATCCTCGTGCTGTGACTGCAGTACACACACACACACGCACATACACACCTGCTCACAGATTCCAGCACACACAGACCTTAGCACACACATACACACAAGCACACAGATGCCAGCACGTACACACCTGCCCTCCCACACATGGTCACACGCTTACACTCCATTGTTGCATGACCTTCTCCAGATCAGCACCTGCCATGTCCTGCCTGCCAGGTCGTCTTCAGGCCAGGAGCCATTGCTTGTGGGTGGTGGGGTGGGGCTCTCTTGAGCTGATTGCTGTGAGACGAACTGGGCTGGGGAAGGCTGGGTGGCGGTGTGGGACCAGGCCCTGCTGGAGAGGGGTCAGGGGTGGGGTGGAATGTTAGAGTTAGGGGCAGTGGCCGGGTCAGGGTCAGAGTCCCACAGCCACATGCTTGCTGCCCTGCATCCTTGCAGCATTGGCGTCGGTGCACACGCATGTTTCATTCCCCGTGTTCATGGCATCCAGCCCCCATGTGTCATGTTCACATGCCCTGTCTCATTTGCTCATGCAAGGCTAACATCGTTGTACCCACACACGTCTGCATGCATGACTCGATGCACTTTTGGGCCCCACTTCAGGCTTCATGTGCTGGCTGCACACATTCCTGCTCACACGTCCCGTGGACATGCCCTGAGTCTCTCTGATAAGGTTCAGAGCCCAGGAGGGCACCTCTCACTCGGGGGAGCCTGTTCCTGACCCTGTTCTCTGCTCGAGGAGCCTCGGGAGGGTCACTGGGCAAGCATCTAGGAGGAGCCAGCAGCTGCAGGGCTGGAAGGGCCATGGCCCACGCCTTTCTGTGGCCAGTGAGCAGGGATCCTGCTGTGATGAAATCTCAGGCAGGCTGTGGCACGGGGGATGCCGAAGGTGAATCTGTGTAGCTGTGAGGACCCTGAAGAAGAGCTTTGCCGGGCGGGCAGCTGGGGCAGTGCTGGGAGGTGGCACCTGGCTGGTGCATGTTGTATCCTCTGTCTCCAAATCCCCGTTCTCTGCACAGAGCTAGACATTTTGCTGCACCGGCGAGGACTGGAGTGGAGTCACCCTCAGCTCTGGGGACCCCGCTATGGGCCAACTCCTCCCTGGACCTCCTGCTGATGGGCTGCCCTGGTTCCTATCTCCACCCCTTTGCTCCCAGCACCTCTGCTGGTCCATGTAACCAATGTGCCCTGCATGCCAGGCCCTGGGCTCAGTGCTGGGGGCTCAGACTGGGCTGGGACCTGGCAGGGGTTGGGGTGGTACCTCTGTCCAGGGCTTGTGGATGGGACTCTTTTGCTACTGCCTTGGCAGCAGCCAGGAGGGGGCCCAGCTGAGGACTGCAGCTCTACCCAGTCCAGAACGTTTGACCATGCAGGGGGATAGGCTCCACTTCCAGAGTCTGTGATGGTTTTTTTTTTGTCAGAGGAACTGAGCTAGAAAGAGCTGTGAATGATGGTTCAGCTCTGAGAAGCAGATAAACCTTTATAAGTCAGAAGGGGCCTCAGTTTCTCCATTTGTCCTGGCCCTGTTTGTCACATGCCCTTCAGGACACACACATCTGTCTCTCCTGCATAGCCCTCCATGGAGTCCTGGGCCAGGTTCCGGGTCCACCCTGTCCCCATCCCAGTGTGCTCAGCCCAGGGCAGTAGGCCACATCACACCAGGTCTTCAGTGGCCTCCCTCCTCCATCCCCAGGGATGTCGCAGGGATGGCAGGTGGAGGAGGCTTTTACCAGGAGAGGCAGCACTGGCAGGAGCAGGTTTTTAAAGTCTTGAGGTTGTCATAGCAACTGCATCCCTGCTGAGGTTCTGAGGTTCGGTGGCTGTGCAGACGTCCATGTGCTGGAGCTGGGCATGTACAAAAGCCACGTGGTGGCTCCAGGCTGCTGCTGTGGCACAGGTGTGCCTTGGCGTTGGTGAGGTGTGGCACGGCTGTGCGGTGGCGCAGGTGAGGTGAGGTGTGAGGTGGTATACGTGGCCTTGCGGGGCAGTTTTCCTTGCCTGTGACCTCAGCCTATATCCAGCTCCAAAATGTGGTCTGCAGTGGGGAAGGGCAGGAGCTGGATCTGGCCCTCCCCTGTGCTGACCTAGATTCTGCCCGGCCTGCAGGTCCTGCAGCAGACGTGCCTGTAATGAGTCTAATTGTGCAGGCTCTGTGGTCACCATAGCTTTCGGTACCCAAGGGGGTAGACAGAGGTTTGAATCTAGGACTGGGCAGCTCCCTCACCTTCCACCCCCACAACCGTGGCCTCAGTCATCAACGGACGAGGCCAAGTCAGTAGCGGAAGCCGGGCCGTGCCCTCGGCTGGGTCCTGTGGCCTTCGGGCTGCCACCCTGTGCTGGGGATGGAGGTGGGGGCATGGGGCTGCTGCCAACACCCGGCTGGTGCTTGCAGCTGTGGTGCCAACAATTCTCACGCCGCGCTGTCGTCTTTTTGGCTTCTGGAATTTTGAGCCAATTCGGGCTCACCGGGTTGATGCCGCCCCTCATCTGGCCGAGGCTTCTGGGAGCCTGAGGGAGTCGGGACCCCACCCTCAGCGGGGCATGGCGTGGGCCACGTCACCATCCGCCTTGTGTTTATGGGATGATTTAAAAGAACACGGCAGTCTTGGAAGAGTGGTGATGGCGTTTAGCTTAATGGCTTTTGATGCAGAAGCCAAAAGCGTGGTCTGGGCCAGACCTAGGCAGTCAGGGCTCTGGGCTGGGCAAGGGCACCGTATGAAAGGCTGGGTGGGGATCAAGGGGAGCCAGGGTTCAGGCTGGAGGCCCCCTGAAGGGAGATGAGGGTCTGCAGGGGCTGTGGCATGAGGATCTTCATGGCTGCAGTCTTGGAGGAGAGCAAAGTCCAGACAAGCCTAGGGACGGGACAGAGGAGGTGGACAGAGGTGGACAGAGGTGTGGGAGGCCGGCCACGGCCCACTGCACAGGGGGTCTTGGGGACGCCAGCTCAGCCCCAGGCCTCAGCTGAATGGTTGCCTCCCGCCCAGGTCGGGCCCCACTTCTTGTGCCCAGGGCCCTCTCTAAACTCTTCATCATGGCCCCTCTCCGCCTCCCCCCGGACTCCAGGCCAGCGCTGTGTCTGTGCTGTGCGTCTTTTGAGCTTTGTCTCCAGCCCTGGACCCTGGGGCTCCTCCTTCTCGGGCCTCTTCCTGAAGCCTGAGGAGCCACCCTCTGCTGGGGGAGGCTGAGTGTCCCTGCCTAGTCTGGGTGAGGGGAGTCACAGCCCGGCCCAGACCCCACCCCGCTTACATGTATGGCAAGCCATGGCCTTGCTCTCCAGAAGCCATGGCAGCCGGGTGAGGATACTGTGAGCACAGGACTTGGTGTCCATCTTGGCTGTGCCCTCTCAGGAGCATCAGCCTGGTGACCTTGTGACCTCTTATGTCCCCTCTGCAGGAAGGGTGACCAACAGTCTGGATTGGCCCAGGACTGTCCAGGTTTTAGCACTGAATGCCCCACATCCCAGGAAATCTCTTGGTCCTGGACACACTGTTTATCAGTAGGGCCTACCCGGGGGACATATGAGAAAGTGTTCCCTCCAGGAGAAGCTGTGCTGGGCATGAGGGCACTCTGATGTGTGTGTGGGTGGCCTGGGCAAAGCTGTGCGGGGCATGAGGGCACCCTGATGTGGGGGGGGGCCTGGGCAAAGCTGTGCGGGGCATGAGGGCACCCTGATGTTGGGGGGGTGTCTGGGCAAAGCTGTGCAGGGCATGAGGGCACCCTGATGTGACGGGGGGGCCTGGGCAAAGCTGTGTGGGGCATGAGGGCACCCTGATGTTGGGGGCGGTCTCTGGGCAAAGCTGTGCGGGGCATGAGGGCACCCTGATTTTGGGGGTGTGTCTGGGCAAAGCTGTGCAGGGCATGAGGGCACCCTGATGTGGGGGGGTGCCTGGGCAAAGCTGTGCGGGGCATGAGGGCACCCTGATGTTGGGGGGGGTCTCTGGGCAAAGCTGTGCGGGGCATGAGGGCACCCTGATGTTGGGGGGGTGTCTGGGCAAAGCTGTGCGGGGCATGAGGGCACCCTGATGTGGGGGGGGTTGTCTGGGCAAAGCTGTGCGGGGCATGAGGGCACCCTGATGTGGGGGGGTCTCTGGGCAAAGCTGTGCGGGGCATGAGGGCACCGTGATGGGGGGGTGTCTGGGCAAAGCTGTGCGGGGCATGAGGGCACCCTGATGTGGGGGGGGTGTCTGGGCAAAGCTGTGCGGGGCATGAGGGCACCCTGATGTGGCGGGGGGGGGCCTGGGCGAAGCTGTGCGGGGCATGAGGGCACCCTGATGTTGGGGGGGGTGTCTGGGCAAAGCTGTGCGGGGCACGAGGTCACCCTGATGTTGGGGGGGGGTGTCTGGGCAAAGCTGCGCGGGGCATGAGGGCACGCTGATGTGGCAGGGGGTGTCTGGGCAAAGCTGCGCAGGGCATGAGGGCACCCTGATGTTGGGGGGGGTGTCTGGGCAAAGCTGTGCGGGGCATGAGGTCACCCTGATGTTGGGGGGGTGTCTGGGCAAAGCTGCGCGGGGCATGAGGACACCCTGATGTGGGGGGGGTGTCGGGGCAAAGCTGTGCGGGGCATGAGGGCACCCTGATGTTGGGGGGGGTGTCTGGGCAAAGCTGTGCGGGGCATGAGGTCACCCTGATGTTGGGGGGGTGTCTGGGCAAAGCTGTGCGGGGCATGAGGGCACCCTGATGTGGGGGGGGGTGTCTGGGCAAAGCTGTGCGGGGCATGAGGGTACCCTGATGTTGGGGGGGGTGTCTGGGCAAAGCTGTGCGGGGCATGAGGGCACCCTGATGTTGGGGGGTCTGGGCAAAGCTGTGCGGGGCATGAGGGCACCCTGATGTGGGGGGGGTGTCTGGGCAAAGCTGTGCGGGGCATGAGGGCACCCTGATGTGGGGGGGTCTGGGCAAAGCTGTGCGGGGCATGAGGGCACCCTGATGTGGGGGGGGTGTCTGGGCAAAGCTGTGCGGGGCATGAGGGTACCCTGATGTTGGGGGGGGTGTCTGGGCAAAGCTGCGCGGGGCATGAGGGCACCCTGATGTGGCGGGGGGGGGCGTGGGCGAAGCTGTGCGGGGCATGAGGGCACCCTGATGTTGGGGGGGGTGTCTGGGCAAAGCTGCGCGGGGCATGAGGGCACCCTGATGTTGGGGGGGGGTGTCTGGGCAAAGCTGCGCGGGTCATGAGGGCACCCTGATATGGTGGGGGGTGTCTGGGCAAAGCTGTGCAGGGCATGAGGGCACCCTGATGTGGCGGGGGGGCCTGGGCAAAGCTGTGCGGGGCATGAGGGCACCCTGATGTTGGGGGGGGTGTCTGGGCAAAGCTGTGCGGAGCATGAGGGCACCCTGATGTTGGGGGGGTGTCTGGGCAAAGCTGTGCGGGGCATGAGGGCACCCTGATGTGGGGGGGGGTGTCTGGGCAAAGCTGTGCGGGGCATGAGGGCACCCTGATGTGGTGGGGAGGGCCTGGGCAAAGCTGTGTGGGGCATGAGGGCACCCTGATGTCGGGAGGGGGGCAGGCCTGGGCTCAGCCAGAAGACAGCCCCAGTTCCTCCAGCATGGCTGGGCCCCATCCCACCTCACTTCCTTCCATCTCCACCTTTGCCGACTCCTGGGATCTGAGCCTCCTCCTGGTCTGTCTCTGGTTCTGAATGCCTCCTATGTGCCGGGTGCTGACAGCTAAAGATACATCCGTGTTTCATTTTGTCTCCACAATGGCCAGGGGCAGTACTACTGTCATCCCATCTAGCAGATGGGAACAGGAGGCTCTGATGGAGTTTCCCTGGAGCGTGCTTGCTAACCGTGGAGCAACAGGGCACTCAGCTTCCGCACGGAGCTTCCCAGAGCCTGTGGCTTCCTCTCAGGGCTCCGGCAGTGTTGAATGTGGGGAGCTCACACTCTCACCAGGGAGACCTCATACCTGCTGCTTATCACCTGGGAGATGTTTTCTGCCCACAGAGGCTCCGTCACATCTCTGGCTGCTCGGGGAGGTGAGTGGGGCCCTGCTCACTCAGGACAAAGGAGGCTGAGGTGGAGCTCTAGGCCCCTCTTCCCCACCCACTTGAGTGCACCCCGAAGGCACGTGGAGTTCCTGGGGTGCTGCCTGTGGTCGGGCCAGAGACTGCTCCACTGTCCAAACTGTGCTCATAGGTATGTGGCCTGGGGACTGTTGCCGTGGAACCGGGTAAAGAGCCCTGTGGACCTGTGCTCCCAACTCAGGCCAGTCAAGGGTGCCACTGTGGCCTAGATAGTCTCCTGAGGGGAGCAGACCAGGTGGAGGTCAGGAGTACAGGTCTGGGACTGGCTTTTTCCTTGCTGTGTGGCCCAGGGTGAGTTACCCAACCTCTCTGAGCCTCTGTCTCCTCACTTGTCAAATGGGGATCGTAATTTTCCTGCCTCAGGCTGGAGGCTTGCACGTGTTGGGCCAGCCCCATCTGAGGTCCCACCTGCCCGTGCTGCTCTGGACCTGGTCTGGGGTTTCGGCCTTGGGCCTGGGCAGCTCAGGTGGATGCTTGGAGGGAGCACTGACCTCAAGTCAGCTGTGAGTAGGACGGGAGGCTGGTGAGCGGCAGCAAGCTGCAAGCCACAGGCAGGGAGAACTTCCCGGAGGTAGAGAGAGAGAGAGAGAGAGAGAGAGAGAGAGTGTGTGTGTGTGTGTGTGTGTGTGTGTGTGTGTGTGCGCCCTTCTTAGCCTGGGCAAAGAATTGGGAGACCAGCAGGCCAGCGCTGGCTCTGCCATGGAGGGGAAGCACTTTGAAGCCCCACTGTTCCTGGACTAGCTCTGCTGAACCACAGAGGGGCCGCCGTTTTCCCTTGGCTGGGGTAGAGGAACAGGGTCCTTCCTGTGGCTCCTGGCTGAGCCAGGTTCTGTGCGACGCGGACCAACCCTGACCCCCAGTGGCCAGTTCCGAGAACTGCTGCAGAGGAAAAGGGACCATTCAGTAGGGTGGGGGTGGGGGCTTGCGCGGCATTCATTTTCGAGTGGACATGGGGGCAGGCAGGCCAGTCTCTGATGATTTAAGGATGCTGTGGTTTGAATATTTGTCACCTCCAAAACTCAAGTTGGAATTTAATCCCCAATGTGGCAGTATTGAGAGGTGGGGCCTTTAAGAGGTGATTGGGTCACAAGAGCTCTGCCCTCATGAATAGATTAATTTATTTATAGATTAATGGGTTATCATAGGAGTGGGGCTAGTAGCTTTATAAGAAGAGAGAGACCTGAGCCAGCACGCTCAGCCCCTCACCATGCGACGCCCTGCACTGCCTTGGGACTCTGGGGTTCCCACCAGCAAGAAAACCTCACCAGATGTGGCCCATTGACCTTGGACTTCCCAGCCCGCAGAACTGTAAGAAATACATTTTGTTTCTTTTAAATTACCCAGTTTCTGTTATAAGCAGCAGGAAACAGACTAAGACAAGGGGCAAGCCAGCCTCTGCCCACAAGGAGCTCCATTCTGGTGTGGAGAGACCCAAACACACAACTATGCTCTTTGTCTTGCTAGAGACTTGTTTTGTGGTGGCCCCAACCTCAACTTGCCAGCAATTTGTAAAAGAACCAAGTCAATTTTACACAGCAAATTAAACCCCAGGGTAAATGTGTGTACCTGGATTCCAATAGTAGGTAAAGATTCTTAATGGTGAAAACTATGACTCCTGTTAAAACTCTTGTGTTCTGTTCTTACCACTGAGTTTAAACAACAACTCTGTGCTAATCGTATAAAGAATATTTTTGTCTGGACTGTCTACGGCCAAGTTCTCCACCCTGGATGTGCACAGAATCCCCTGGGGACTTCAGGAGCTCACTGGAGCTGGTTCCACCCCCATGCCCAGGCTCTGATGTGCTTGGTCTGGGCTGGGGCCTGGGCACCAGTGTTGTCCTAGTTTTGTGTTGCTATGAAGGAATATCTGAGGCTGGGTAATTTCTTTTTCTTTTTCCTAGGTGAGGAGAAGGATAGAGGCTGGGCCATTATAAAGAAAAGAGGTTTGTTTGGCTCACGGTTCTGCAGGGTGTACGGGAAGCACGGTGCCGGCACCTGCTTCTGGGGAGGCCTCAGGGAGCGTGCACTCATGGCGGGAGGTGTCTCATGGTAAGAGAAGAGGCGAGAGAGAGGGGCGATGCCAGGATTTTTTTAAAACAACCAGCTCGTGTGGGAACTAATAGAGCAAGAACTCACTCATCACCATGAGGAGGGCACTAAACCATTCATTCTGGATCCTTCCCTATGACCCGAACACCTCCCACCAGGCCCCGCCTCCAACATCGGGGATTAAATTTCAACATGAGGTTCGGGGACAAACGTCCAAACTATAGCAGGTATTTCTGAAGAACACCCAGGTGTTTCAAAGCTGGGGTGAAGCCGTGGGTTAACACTGTTTTTCAGACATGGCTGGAGACCTGGGGTTCCTACACCACAGAGTCTCCCTGCCAGAGTTCTCAGCTCCTGGGGAGGCTGAGGTGGGTGGATCACTTGAGGTCAGGAGTTTGAGATCAGCCTGGCCAACATGGTGAAACCCCGTCTCTACTAAAAATACAAAAAATGTAGCCAGGCGTGGTGGCACACACCTGTAATTCCAGCTACTCAGGAGGCTGAGGCACGAGAATCACTTGATCCTGGGAGGCGGAGGTTGCAGTGAGCTGAGATCTCACTACTGCACTCCAGCCTGGGTGACGGAGTGAGACACTGTCAAAAAAAAAAAAAAAAAGAAAGAAGAAAGAGAAGTATCATGATAAAAGAAATAATATTTTAAAAAAAGACAGTGTGGTATTTGCATCAAGATAGACAGATCAATAGAACAAATTAGAGATACCAGAAATAGACCCACAAATATGAGCAAGTGATTTTCAACAAAGCTGCAAAGGCAATTCAATAAAGGCAAGTTTTGTTCTCAGTAAATGATGCTAAACAGTTGGATATCCATATGCAAAAAAATGAACTTTGATCCATACCTTGTACTATATTAAAATATTGTCAATATGGATCATAAACCTAAATGTAAAAGCTAAAATTATAAAACTTCTATAAGAGGACATAGAAGAAAACCTTTGCAAACTTAGATCAGGCAAAACATTATTAGATAGGATATCAAAACATAATCCATCAAATAAATAAGATGTTTCATCAAAACTAAGAACTTCTGCTATTCCAAAGACACTGCTAAGAAAATGAAAAGACAAGCCCAAGGCTGTAAGACAATTTTTGCAAATCACATATTTGATAAAGGACTTGTATCCAGAGTATATCAAGAACTCTCAAAACTCAATAACGTTAATGGAAAAAAACAGATTCTGTAAAATATTTTAAAGAGGTTTATTCTGAGTCAATATGAATGACCATGGCCTGGAGAAAACAGTTTCGAGAGGTTCTGAGAAAGCCTGGAGAACACAGTTTCGAGTTTCCTGAGAAAGCCTGGAGAACAGTTTCGAGAGGTCCTGAGAAAGCCTGGAGAACACAGTTTTGAGTTTCCTTAGAAAGCCTGGAGAACACAGTTTCGAGAGGTGCTGAGAAAGCCTGGAGAACACGGTTTCGAGAGCTCCTGGGAAAGCCTGGAGAACACGGTTTCGAGAGGTCCTGAGAAAGCCTGGAGAACACGATTTCGAGAGGTCCTGAGAAAGCCTGGAGAACACGGTTTCGAGAGGTCCTGAGAAAGCCTGGAGAACATGGTTTCGAGAGGTCCTGGGAAAGCCTGGAGAACACAGTTTCGAGTTTCCTGAGAAAGCCTGGAGAACAGTTTCGAGAGGTCCTGAGAAAGCCTGGAGAACACAGTTTCGAGAGGTCCTGGGAAAGCCTGGAGAACACGGTTTCGAGAGGTCCTGAGAAAGCCTGGAGAACACAGTTTTGAGTTTCCTGAGAAAGCCTGGAGAACACAGTTTCGAGAGGTCCTGGGAAAGCCTGGAGAACACGGTTTCGAGAGGTCCTGAGAAAGCCTGGAGAACACGGTTTTGAGAGGTCCTGAGAAAGCCTGGAGAACATGGTTTCGAGAGGTTCTGGGAAAGCCTGGAGAACACAGTTTCAAGTTTCCTGAGAAAGCCTGGAGAACAGTTTCGAGAGGTCCTGAGAAAGCCTGGAGAACACAGTTTCGAGAGGTCCTGAGAAAGCCTGGAGAACACAGTTTCGAGTTTCCTGGGAAAGCCTGGAGAACATAGTTTCGAGAGGTCCTGAGAAAGCCTGGAGAACACAGTTTCGAGAGGTCCTGGGAAAGCCTGGAGAACACAGTTTCAAGAGGTCCTGGGAAAGCCTGGAGAACACAGTTTCGAGTTTCCTGAGAAAGCCTGGAGAACATGGTTTCGAGTTTCCTGAGAAAGCCTGGAGAACACAGTTTCGAGAGGTCCTGGGAAAGCCTGGAGAACATAGTTTCGAGAGGTCCTGGGAAAGCCTGGAGAACACAGTTTCGAGAGGTCCTGGGAAAGCCTGGAGAACACAGTTTCAAGAGGTCCTGGGAAAGCCTGGAGAACACAGTTTCGAGTTTCCTGAGAAAGCCTGGAGAACACAGTTTCGAGAGGTCCTGGGAAAGCCTGGAGAACACAGTTTTGAGTTTCCTGAGAAAGCCTGGAGAACATAGTTTCGAGAGGTCCTGAGAAAGCCTGGAGAACACAGTTTCGAGTTTCCTGAGAAAGCCTGGAGAACACAGTTTTGAGAGGTCCTGAGAAAGTGTGCCCCCAGCAGTCAGATTATACTTTGGTTTCATAGTTTTCAGAGAGGCAGGAGTTACAGGCAAAGACAGAAATCAATACATAGAAGGTAGACATTGGTTTGGCCCCAAATGGCAGGGTATCTTGAAGCAGGGTGTACAGGTTATATGTTGATTCAGAGATTCTTTAATTTGCAACTGGTTAAAGGTATAAAGTTTAATTAAAAAATTGGAGTCAGCAGAAAGGAATGTTTTGAGTTAAGATATAAGCTTCTTAACCCATAGGGGTGTGTGACTTAACTCCTGTCTGGCACAGCCTTAGGTCCTGTTTATAATTTGATATCTTATTGTCACAAATAGTTTGTTTTGTTGGTCTTATGAAATCTATTTTAACATTAATGCCTGAGATGTATGATGAGATGTGTCCAACTTCCCTTCCCATCATGGCCAGGGATTCAGTTTTTAAGGTTTTCTGGGGTTCCCTTGGCCAAGAGGGGGTCTGTTGAGTTGGTGGGGGCCTTAGGATTTCATTTTTTTTTTTTTTGAAACAGAGTCTCCCTCTATTGCCCAGGATGGAGTGCAGTGGTGCTATCTCGGCTCACTGCAACCTCTGTCTCCTGGGTTCAAGCGATTCTCCTGCCTCAGCCTCCCAAGTAGCTGGGATTACAGGTGTGCACCACCACACCCAGCTAATTTTTTTGTATTTTCAGTAGAGATGAGGTTTCACTGTGTTAGCCAGGATGGTCTCGATTTCCTGACCTCATGATCCACCCACCTTGGCCTCCCAAAGTGCTGGGATTACAGGTGTGAGCCACTGCGCCCGGACACACTTTGCTAGTTTTTTTTTTTTGTTTTGTTTTTTTAGTAGCAGTGCTGGGATTACAGGTGTCAGCCACCATGCCTGGCTCAAATACTACACTGTCTTGATTACTACAGCTTTATACTCAAATACTACACCATCTTGATTACTACAGCTTTATACTCAAATACCACACCGTCTTGATTACCACAGCTGTATACTCAAATACCACACCGTCTTGATTACCACAGCTTTATACTCAAATACCACACCGTCTTGATTACCAAAGCTTTATACTCAAATACCACACTGTCTTGATTACCACAGCTTTATACTCAAATAACACACCGTCTTGATTACCACAGCTTTATACTCAAATACTACACCGTCTTGATTACCACAGCTTTATACTCAAATACCACACTGTCTTGATTACCACAGCTTTATACTCAAATACCACACTGTCTTGATTCCTATAGCTTTATACTCAAATACCACACTGTCTTGATTACCACAGCTTTATACTCAAATACTACACTGTCTTGATTACTATAGCTTTATACTCAAATACTACACTGTCTTGATTACTATAGCTTTATACTCAAATACTACACTGTCTGATTACTACAGCTTTATACTCAAATACCACCCTGTCTTGATTACCACAGCTTTATACTCAAATACCACACCGTCTTGATTACCACAGCTGTATACTCAAATACTACACCGTCTTGATTACCACAGCTGTATACTCAAATACTACACTGTCTTGATTACCACAGCTTTATACTCAAATACCACACTGTCTTGATTACCACCGCTTTATACTCAAATACCACACTGTCTTGATTACTATAGCTTTATACTCAAATACTACACTGTCTGATTACTACAGCTTTATACTCAAATACCACACTGTCTTGATTACCACAGCTTTATACTCAAATACTACACTGTCTTGATTACTATAGCTTTATACTCAAATACTACACTGTCTGATTACTACAGCTTTATACTCAAATACCACACTATCTTGATTACTACAGCTTTATACTCAAATACTACACTGTCTGATTACTACAGCTTTATACTCAAATACCACACCGTCTTGATTACCACAGCTTTATACTCAAATACTACACTGTCTTGATTACTACAGCTTTATACTCAAATACCACACCGTCTTGATTACCACAGCTGTATACTCAAATACTACACCGTCTTGATTACCACAGCTTTATACTCAAATACTACACCGTCTTGATTACCACAGCTTTATACTCAAATACCACACTGTCTTGATTACTATAGCTTTATACTCAAATACTACACTGTCTGATTACTACAGCTTTATACTCAAATACCACACTGTCTTGATTACCACAGCTTTATACTCAAATACTACACTGTCTGATTACTACAGCTTTATACTCAAATACCACACTGTCTTGATTACCACAGCTTTATACTCAAATACTACACTGTCTTGATTACCACAGCTTTATACTCAAATACCACACCGTCTTGATTACCACAGCTGTATACTCAAATACCACACTGTCTTGATTACCACAGCTGTATACTCAAATACCACACTGTCTTGATTACCACAGCTTTATACTCAAATACCACACTGTCTTGATTACCACAGCTTTATACGCAAATACCACACTGTCTTGATTACTATAGCTTTATACTCAAATACCACACTGTCTTGATTACTACAGCTTTATACTCAAATACCACACTGTCTTGATTACTACAGCTTTATACTCAAATACTACACTGTCTTGATTAACACAGCTTTATACTCAAATACTACACTGTCTTGATTACCACAGCTTTATACTCAAATACTACACTGTCTTGATTACTATAGCTTTATACTCAAATACCACACTGTCTTGATTACTATAGCTTTATACTCAAATACTACACTGTCTTGATTACCACAGCTTTATACTCAAATACTACACTGTCTTGATTACTATAGCTTTATACTCAAATACCACACTGTCTTGATTACCACAGCTTTATACTCAAATACCACACTGTCTTGATTACCACAGCTTTATACTCAAATACCACACTGTCTTGATTACTACAGCTTTATACTCAAATACCACACTGTCTTGATTACTATAGCTTTATACTCAAATACCACACTGTCTTGATTACTATAGCTTTATACTCTGTTTTGAGGTCAGGTAGTGTCAGTCCCTCTAACTTCATTTTTCAAAGTTGTTAGGGGATTATAGGTTCTTTGCAAATTTCTATGCAAATTTTGGAATCAGTTTGTTAATTTCCAGAAAAAAGCCTCTTGCAATTTTAATTGCATTAAATCTATAGATGAGTTTGGGTAGAATCGGCATATGGAGTTTTCTGATGCATGAACACAGCATAACTCCTATTTACATCTTTAATTTCTCTCAGCAGTTTTACGGTTTTTAATGTATGGCTTCTGTCAGTTGTATTTCTAGGTATTTCATTTTTTGATGCTATTATAAATAGCATTGTTTTTAAAAATGTTCATTTGATTATTCGTTTCTAGGATATAGAAATCCCATAGATTTTTGTGTATTGATTTTGTATCCTGAAACTTTGCTGAAGTTGCTTATTAGTTCTAGTAGCTTTTTTGTGGATTATACCCAACTTTCTACACAGATGATCATGTCTGTGAATTAGACAATTTTTTATTTCTAACCTGGACACCTTTTATTTCTTTTTCTTGCCTTATTGGTTTGGTTAGAGTGTCCAGTACAATGTTGAGTAGAATTGAACATCCTTGCCTCCGTCTTGCTCTGAGGAGAGACATGGATTAAGATTTAACTTGGGTTTTTCATATCAGGCTGACACATTCTCCTATTCCTAGTTTGCTGAGAGTCTTTATGAGGGATGGATTTTAGATTTTGTCAAATGCTTTTTCTGCGTCTATTATGATAATCATGTGTTTCCTTTTTTAGTTTGTTAATATAACGAATCACACTGATTTTGTTAAACTAACCTTGCATTCTGGAATAAACTCTGCTTGGTCATATTATAGTATTTTTTCAAATATTGATGGATTTTGATTTACTAAAATGTTGTTAATAATTTTTGCATCTGTGTTTATGAGGGATATTGGTCTGTAATTTTTTTTCTTGTGGTGCTTTTGGTATCAGAGTAATCTTGGCCTCAATGAATGAGTTGGGAGACGGTCCCTCTTCTTCAGTTTCCTCAAAGAGTTCTGTGAAATTGGCATTCTTTTCTTTTTGGAGACAGAGTCTTGCTCTGTTGCCCAGGCAGGAGTGGCGTGGGTCACATCAGGGCTCATTGTAGCCTCAACGTCTGGCAAAGTGATCCTCCCATCTCAGCCTTCCAAGTAGCTGGACCAGAAGTGTGAGCCACCACACCTGGCTAATTTTTAATTTTTAGTAGAGACGGGGTCTCGCCATGTTGCCCAGGCTGGTCTTGAACTCCCCACACTCCAGGGATGACACCTTCACTCAAATCACAGCCCCTCTGGCTGTTCGTTCCTGGAGCCCCTTGTGCTGCGTTGGCCCCTGCTTGGTCCTGGTCTGTCTGGCCACCCTCAGGCTCCTGCCTGGTGTGTCACACCTCCCGCATCTACTGTCCCTCCTGGCTCCAGGCACCTGCCCAGATGCCACTCCACCGTCTCCCCTCCTGTCTGAGATGCAGGGCATGACCACGGGTGCTGCTCTTAGAGCTTCATGCTCCGTCTGCCCCACTGGGAAGCAGCTGAGACCTCAGTCAGCCACCTTGGGGGCCCAGATTAGTTTGAGACACTTGAGACCTGTTAAGTCCCGTTCCACAGACCCCTCTGAGCCTCCTCCATCACCACACATGTGGGAAGATCCAGGCCAGTGGGACCTGGCCAAACTGGTGATGGGGAGCATCCCAGGGGCTTGGGGACACTTGGTGGCCAAAGGTTGGAGAGGGTGGAGGATGCTCAGCCAGAGCCGGAGCAGCCCCTTTGGTGGGACAATTGCAGAAAACTGATAGTAACGCAAACAATTCTTGTTCTAGAACTGCAAAGGAGTTTTGTCCAGAGGAATGAAGTAGATGAGTGTTTTGTGGATGTCTATTTCACACCCTGGATTGTCGATCGTGGTTTGGGTCCTCCTTGGAACTGGGCTCCTAACGCTCAACAGGCTTCTTCATTCATTATTGTTGGGGGTTGAGTTGTGTCTCCTAAAAGATATGTTGGAGCCTCAGCCGGGCGCGGTGGCTCACGCCTGTAATCGCGGCACTTTGGGAGGCTGAGGCGGGTGGATCACGAGGTCAAGAGATCGAGACCATCGTGGCCAACATAATGAAACCCCGTCTCTACTAAAAAAATACAAAAATTAGCCGGGTGAGGTGGCAGGCGCCTGTAGTCCCAGCTACTCGGGAGGCTGAGGCTGAAGAATCACTTGAACACGGGAGGCGGGGGTTGCAGTGAACCGTGATTGTGCCACTGCACTGCAGCCTGGCGACAGAGTGAGACTCCGTCAAAAAAAAAAAAAAAAAAAAAGTTGGAGTCTCAACCCCCAGCACCTGTGAGTGTGACCTTGTTTGGAAGTGGGGTCTTTGCAGATTTAATTAGTCCATTTGAGACCATGGTGGACTTGGGTGTCCTTACAAGAAGAGGGAAATTTGGACACAGAAGATGCAGAGGACAGTGCTGTGTGAAGACAGAAGTGGTGGAGGCTGGAGGGATGCGTCTGTGAGCCAGGGAGCATCCAGGATTGCCAGAAACTAGAGGAGGTGAGGAACGGTCATCCCTGGAGTCTTCGGAGGGAATGCAGCCCTGACAATACTGGATTCCAGACTTCCGGCCTCCAGAACTAAGAGAATAATTTTCTATTGTTTAAGCCAGTCTGTGGTCCTTTATTATGGAGCCCTAAGAGACCATGCAGTGTGCGTGGAAGGGGCTGCTCCAGACAGAGGAAACCACACACGCAGATGTCCCAGGAATGGGGGGTAGGGGAAGGAGGTGCTGGGTCATGGAGAACCTTTGAACTGTTTTCCTAAAGGCAATGGGAGGCTTCTTTAAAAAGCCTAATTCTGGAAAAGGTTAAAGCACACATTTTGAAGACGAAACTATGACCCTCAGGCCAGAGGTTTTATTTAACTTGTGTTGGTTTTAACCCCTGGGCCTGAGAACAGAGAACAGGGTGAGTGTGACAGAGGCATGCCCGCTTCTGGGGAGGCCAGTGGGGCCTCTGCGCCTCCTGGCAGGGGTCACTCAGGAAGAACAAGAGGTCGAGTGGAAGACTATGCTGGATGTTAAAGGTGGAATTTTGGTGCATTTGTCCTGGACCACTGACGCTTTCTTGTTCAGCACAAGGGCGATGGCAATGGCCACTGGCAATCCTGGGCTCCAGGTGTGTGCATGTGTGTGCGTAGAGGCACTGGAGTATCCAGGCATGTTCATGTGTGTGAGTAGAGGCACTGGAGTACACTGGAGTATCCAGGCGTGTGCGTGTGTGAGTAGAGGCACTGGAGTATCCAGGCGTGTGCGTGTGTGAGTAGAGGCACTGGAGTATCTAGTCGTGTGTGTGTGTGAGTAGAGGCACTGGAGTATCCAGCGTGTTCATGTGTGTGAGTAGAGGCACTGGAGTATCTAGTCGTGTGCGTGTGTGAGTAGAGGCACTGGAGTATCCAGGCGTGTTCATGTGTGTGCATAGAGGCACTGGAGTATCCAGGCGTGTGCGTGTGTACGTAGAGGCACTGGAGTATTGACACGCTAGGGGTGGACATGCCCAGTGTGGATGCCCTGCAGTGCTACCCTGGGAAGCAGATGATCTGGGCCATCTGGTGGCCACACTGGTACTGTGCTGCTCTGTGTTTAGCTGGGCATGTGCTCTGGGCTGGGCATGAGACAAAATGAGGATAGCTGCTGGGCTGTGGATAGTTGTTCACAGGGGTGCAGGCTGTTGTAGGTGGGCCAGGAGGGGCTGGGCAGCCCATGAGGGTGAGGCTGAGACTCCACACTGAGCCCAGGTTTAGGGGACCTGGTGGGGGTCACAGCCTCCCCTGTCCCAGACTTCTCCTGGCCTCTCTCATGTCCTATGAGACCCCCTCACTGTCCACCCTCATGGCCTGTAGAGACCCCCTCACTGTCCACTCTCATGTCCTATAGAGACCCCCTCACTGTCCACCCTCATGTCCTATAGAGACCCCCTCACTGTCAACTCTCATGTCCTATGAGACCCCCTCACTGTCCACCCTCATGGCCTATAGAGACCCCCTCACTGTCCACCCTCATGGCCTGTAGAGACCCCCTCACTGTCCACTCTCATGTCCTATAGAGACCCCCTCACTGTCCACCCTCGTGTCCTATAGAGACCCCCTCACTGTCAACTCTCATGTCCTATGAGACCCCCTCACTCTCCACCCTCATGGCCTGTAGAGACCCCCTCACTGTCCACCCTCATGGCCTATAGAGACCCCCTCACTGTCCACCCTCATGTCCTATGAGACCCCCTCACTGTCCACCCTCATGTCCTATAGAGACCCCCTCACTGTCCACCCTCATGGCCTATGAGACCCCCTCACTGTCCACCCTCATGTCCTATAGAGACCCCCTCACTGTCCACCCTCATGGCCTATAGAGACCCCCTCACTGTCCACCCTCATGGCCTGTAGAGACCCCCTCACTCTCCACCCTCATGTCCTATAGAGACCCCCTCTCTGTCCACCCTCATGTCCTATAAAGACCCCCTCACTGTCCACCCTCATGTCCTATAGAGACCCCCTCACTGTCCACCCTCATGTCCTATAGAGACCCCCTCACTGTCCACCCTCGTGTCCTATAGAGACCCCCTCACTGTCCACCCTCATGTCCTATAGAGACCCCCTCACTGTCCACCCTCATGTCCTATAGAGACCCCCTCACTGTCCACCCTCGTGTCCTATAGAGACCCCCTCACTGTCCACCCTCGTGTCCTATATAGACCCCCTCACTGTCCACCCTCATGTCCTATAAAGACCCCCTCACTGTCCACCCTCATGGCCTGTAGAGACCCCAACACTGTCCACCCTCATGGCCTGTAGAGACCCCCTCACTGTCCACCCTCATGTCCTATGAGACCCCCTCACTGTCCACCCTCATGGCCTGTAGAGACCCCCTCACTGCCCCTTTTCTTATCCTATAGAGACCCCCTCACTGTCCACCCTCATGGCCTGTAGAGACCCCCTCACTGTCCACCCTCATGTCCTATGAGACCCCCTCACTGTCCACCCTCATGTCCTATGAGACCCCCTCACTGTCCACCCTCATGGCCTATAGAGACCCCCTCACTGTCCACTCTCATGTCCTATAGAGACCCCCTCACTGTCCACCCTCGTGTCCTATAGAGACCCCCTCACTGTCAACTCTCATGTCCTATGAGACCCCCTCACTGTCCACTCTCATGTCCTATGAGACCCCCTCACTGTCCACCCTCATGTCCTATAGAGACCCCCTCACTGTCCACCCTCATGTCCTATGAGACCCCCTCACTGTCCACCCTCATGGCCTGTAGAGACCCCCTCACTGTCCACCCTCATGTCCTATAGAGACCCCCTCACTGTCCACCCTCATGTCCTATAGAGACCCCCTCACTGTCCACCCTCGTGTCCTATAGAGACCCCCTCACTGTCCACCCTCATGTCCTATAGAGACCCCCTCACTGTCCACCCTCATGGCCTGTAGAGACCCCCTCACTGTCCACCCTCGTGTCCTATAGAGACCCCCTCACTGTCCACCCTCGTGTCCTATAGAGACCCCCTCACTGTCCACCCTCGTGTCCTATAGAGACCCCCTCACTGTCCACCCTCGTGTCCTATAGAGACCCCCTCACTGTCCACCCTCATGGCCTATGAGACCCCCTCACTGTCCACCCTCATGTCCTATGAGACCCCCTCACTCTCCACCCTCATGGCCTGTAGAGACCCCCTCACTGTCCACTCTCATGTCCTATAGAGACCCCCTCACTGTCAACTCTCATGTCCTATGAGACCCCCTCACTGTCCACCCTCATGTCCTATGAGACCCCCTCACTGTCCACCCTCATGTCCTGTAGAGACCCCCTCACTGTCCACCCTCATGTCCTATGAGACCCCCTCACTGTCCACCCTCATGGCCTATGAGACCCCCTCACTGTCCACCCTCATGGCCTATGAGACCCCCTCACTGTCCACCCTCATGGCCTATAGAGACCCCCTCACTGTCCACTCTCATGTCCTATAGAGACCCCCTCACTGTCCACCCTCGTGTCCTATAGAGACCCCCTCACTGTCAACTCTCATGTCCTATGAGACCCCCTCACTGTCCACTCTCATGTCCTATGAGACCCCCTCACTGTCCACCCTCATGTCCTATAGAGACCCCCTCACTGTCCACCCTCATGTCCTATGAGACCCCCTCACTGTCCACTCTCATGTCCTATGAGACCCCCTCACTGTCCACCCTCATGGCCTATAGAGACCCCCTCACTGTCCACCCTCATGGCCTGTAGAGACCCCCTCACTGTCCACTCTCATGTCCTATAGAGACCCCCTCACTGTCCACCCTCATGTCCTATAGAGACCCCCTCACTGTCCACCCTCGTGTCCTATAGAGACCCCCTCACTGTCCACCCTCATGTCCTATGAGACCCCCTCACTGTCAACTCTCATGTCCTATGAGAACCCCTCACTGTCCACCCTCATGTCCTATAGAGACCCCCTCACTGTCCACCCTCATGGCCTGTAGAAACCCCCTCAATGTCCACCCTCATGTCCTATAAAAACCCCTCACTGTCTACCCTCATGTCCTATAGAGACCCCCTCACTGTCCACTCTCATGTCCTATAGAGACCCCCTCACTGTTCACCCTCGTGTCCTATAGAGACCCCCTCACTGTCCACCCTCGTGGCCTGTAAAGACCCCCTCACTGTCCACCCTCATGTCCTATAGAGACCCCCTCACTGTCCACCCTCATGTCCTATAGAGACCCCCTCACTGTCCACCCTCATGTCCTATAGAGACCCCCTCACTGTCCACCCTCGTGTCCTATAGAGACCCCCTCACTGTCCACCCTCATGTCCTATAGAGACCCCCTCACTGTCCACCCTCGTGTCCTATAGAGACCCCCTCACTGTCCACCAACAAAAAAATATAGAGACCCCCTCACTGTCCACCCATATGGCCTGTAGAGACCCCCTCACTGTCCACCCTCGTGTCTTATAGAGACCCCCTCACTGTCCACTCTCATGTCATATAGAGACCCCCTCACTGTCCACCCTCGTGTCCTATAGAGACCCCCTCACTGTCAACTCTCATGTCCTATGAGACCCCCTCACTGTCCACCCTCATGGCCTATAGAGACCCCCTCACTGTCCACCCTCATGTCCTATAGAGACCCCCTCACTGTCCACCCTCGTGTCCTATAGAGACCCCCTCACTGTCCACTCTCATGTCCTATGAGACCCCCTCACTGTCCACCCTCATGGCCTATAGAGACCCCCTCACTGTCCACCCTCATGGCCTGTAGAGACCCCCTCACTGTCCACCCTCATGTCCTATGAGACCCCCTCACTGTCCACCCTCATGTCCTATGAGACCCCCTCACTGTCCACCCTCATGGCCTATAGAGACCCCCTCACTGTCCACTCTCATGTCCTATAGAGACCCCCTCACTGTCCACCCTCGTGTCCTATAGAGACCCCCTCACTGTCAACTCTCATGTCCTATGAGACCCCCTCACTGTCCACTCTCATGTCCTATGAGACCCCCTCACTGTCCACCCTCATGTCCTATAGAGACCCCCTCACTGTCCACCCTCATGTCCTATGAGACCCCCTCTCTGTCCACCCTCATGTCCTATGAGACCCCCTCACTGTCCACCCTCATGTCCTATAGAGACCCCCTCACTGTCCACCCTCATGGCCTATGAGACCCCCTCACTGTCCACCCTCATGTCCTATGAGACCCCCTCACTGTCCACCCTCATGTCCTATAGAGACCCCCTCAGTGTCCACCCTCATGGCCTGTAGAGACCCCCTCACTGTCCACCCTCATGGCCTGTAGAGACCCCCTCACTGTCCACCCTCATGGCCTGTAGAGACCCCCTCACTGTCCACCCTCATGGCCTGTAGAGACCCCCTCACTGTCCACCCTCATGTCCTATGAGACCCCCTCACTCTCCACCCTCATGTCCTATAGAGACCCCCTCACTGTCCACTCTCATGTCCTATAGAGACCCCCTCACTGTCCACCCTCATGTCCTATAGAGACCCCCTCACTGTCCACTCTCATGTCCTATAGAGACCCCCTCACTGTCCACTCTCATGTCCTATAGAGACCCCCTCACTGTCCACCCTCGTGTCCTATAGAGACCCCCTCACTGTCCACCCTCATGTCCTATGAGACCCCCTCACTGTCAACTCTCATGTCCTATGAGACCCCCTCACTGTCCACCCTCATGTCCTATAGAGACCCCCTCACTGTCCACCCTCATGGCCTGTAGAGACCCCCTCACTGTCCACCCTCATGTCCTATGAGACCCCCTCACTCTCCACCCTCATGTCCTATAGAGACCCCCTCACTGTCCACTCTCATGTCCTATAGAGACCCCCTCACTGTCCACCCTCATGTCCTATAGAGACCCCCTCACTGTCCACTCTCATGTCCTATAGAGACCCCCTCACTGTCCACCCTCGTGTCCTATATAGACCCCCTCACTGTCCACTCTCATGTCCTATGAGACCCCCTCACTGTCCACCCTCATGTCCTATAGAGACCCCCTCACTGTCCACCCTCATGGCCTGTAGAGACCCCCTCACTGTCCACTCTCATGTCCTATAGAGACCCCCTCACTGTCCACTCTCATGTCCTATAGAGACCCCCTCACTGTCCACCCTCGTGTCCTATAGAGACCCCCTCACTGTCCACCCTCATGTCCTATGAGACCCCCTCACTGTCAACTTCTCATGTCCTATGAGACCCCCTCCCTGTCCACCCTCATGGCCTATAGAGACCCCCTCACTGTCCACCCTCATGGCCTGTAGAGACCCCCTCACTCTCCACCCTCATGTCCTATAGAGACCCCCTCACTGTCCACCCTCATGTCCTATAGAGACCCCCTCACTGTCCACCCTCATGTCCTATAGAGACCCCCTCACTGTCCACCCTCATGTCCTATAGAGACCCCCTCACTGTCCACCCTCGTGTCCTATAAAGACCCCCTCACTGTCCACCCTCATGTCCTATGAGACCCCCTCACTGTCCACCCTCATGGCCTGAAGAGACCCCCTCACTGTCCACCCTCGTGTCCTATAAAACCCCCTCACTGTCCACCCTCGTGTCCTATAGAGACCCCCTCACTGTCCACTCTCATGTCCTATAGAGACCCCCTCACTGTCCCCCCTCGTGTCCTATAGAGACCCCCTCACTGTCAACTCTAAATCCTATGAGACCCCCTCACTGTCCACTCTCATGTCCTATGAAAACCCCTCACTGTCCACCCTCATGTCCTATAGAGACCCCCTCACTGTCCACCCTCATGGCCTATGAGACCCCCTCACTCTCCACCCTCATGGCCTATAGAGACCCCCTCACTGTCCACCCTCATGGCCTGTAGAGTCCCCCTCACTCTCCACCCTCATGTCCTATAGAGACCCCCTCACTGTCCACCCTCATGTCCTATAGAGACCCCCTCACTGTCCACCCTCATGTCCTATAGAGACCCCCTCACTGTCCACCCTCATGTCCTATAGAGACCCCCTCACTGTCCACCCTCATGTCCTATAGAGACCCCCTCACTGTCCACCCTCATGGCCTGTAGAGACCCCCTCACTGTCCACCCTCGTGTCCTATAGAGACCCCCTCACTGTCCACCCGGCCATACAGACCCCCTCACTGTCCACCCTCGTGTCCTACAGAGACCCCCTCACTGTCCACTCTCATGTCCTATAGAGACCCCCTCACTGTCCACCCTCGTGTCCTATAGAGACCCCCTCACTGTCCACCCTCATGTCCTATGAGACCCCCTCACTGTCAACTCTCATGTCCTATGAGACCCCCTCACTGTCCACTCTCATGTCCTATAGAGACCCCCTCACTGTCCACCCTCATGTCCTATAGAGACCCCCTCACTGTCCACTCTCATGTCCTATGAGACCCCCTCACTGTCCACCCTCATGTCCTATAGAGACCCCCTCACTGTCCACCCTCATGGCCTGTAGAGACCCCCTCACTGTCCACTCTCATGTCCTATAGAGACCCCCTCACTGTCCACTCTCATGTCCTATAGAGACCCCCTCACTGTCCACCCTCGTGTCCTATAGAGACCCCCTCACTGTCCACCCTCATGTCCTATGAGACCCCCTCACTGTCAACTCTCATGTCCTATGAGACCCCCTCACTGTCCACCCTCATGTCCTATAGAGACCCCCTCACTGTCCACCCTCATGGCCTGTAGAGACCCCCTCACTGTCCACCCTCATGTCCTATGAGACCCCCTCACTCTCCACCCTCATGTCCTATAGAGACCCCCTCACTGTCCACTCTCATGTCCTATAGAGACCCCCTCACTGTCCACCCTCATGTCCTATAGAGACCCCCTCACTGTCAACTCTCATGTCCTATAGAGACCCCCTCACTGTCCACCCTCGTGTCCTATAGAGACCCCCTCACTGTCCACTCTCATGTCCTATGAGACCCCCTCACTGTCCACCCTCATGTCCTATAGAGACCCCCTCACTGTCCACCCTCATGGCCTGTAGAGACCCCCTCACTGTCCACCCTCATGGCCTGTAGAGACCCCCTCACTGTCCACCCTCATGTCCTATGAGACCCCCTCACTGTCCACCCTCATGGCCTGTAGAGACCCCCTCACTGTCCACCCATATGGCCTGTAGAGACCCCCTCACTGTCCACCCTCAGGACCCTCTGCATTTGCTCCTTGGGTTCCCGGAACTTGAGCTTGGGTCTTGGTCCACAGCAGCTTTGGGAAGGGCCCTCGGCTGCTTTTTGCTTCAGCAGCTGGGGAGCAGTTAACTTTCAGACCCGGCCCTCCCCCAAGGCAGCTCAGGGAGGGGCTGGACACTCGGTTATTTATGTATTTACTTATTTTTAAATCAAAGCACAGCAAACATGACCATGTGGGGGTGGCCCAGTGGACCCTCACAGTGAGCCCTGGGCCACACAGAACATGGCCCTGGAGCACCCCTATGAGGTTTTAACAGGGTTTTGGGGGACCTTGGTGCTTCCTAAAGTTTCGGGATGAGTCCCCGGGGTCTCCAGACTGCGTCTGCCTCCTCGTGCACCAGAGGGTGGCAGTAACTGTTCATGTTTGCCCCATCCAGGGGTTTTTACCAGGGGTACCTCATCCTTTCTGGGGAGTGGGGAGAGCACCTGAGGGGGTCGGCCTGGAACAGGAGGTTGCAGCCCATTGCCTGAGTCTTAAAGTGTGCCCTTCCCCACAGCACTTCAGGATCACTCTGGGACCATCCTAGGATTAGGAATTTTAAAACGTTTAAAAAAAATTATTTTCCTTTTTTTGGGGGAAATTGGTTATACATCCAGATGATTCAAAAAGTAAAAGTTTAAAAATAAATAATAGTTTAAAAAATGCGCAAAACAAAAAAACTGCATACAGTGAAAAGGAAGCATTTCTTTTTTTAAAAAATTTTATTATTATTATACTTTAAGTTCTAGGGTACATGTGCACAACATGCAGGTTTGTTACATATGTATACATGTGCCGTGTTGGTGTGCTGCACCCATTAACTCATCATTTAGCATTAGGTGTATCTCCTAATGCTATCCCTCCCCTCTCCCCGCACCCCACAAAAGTCCCCGGTGTGTGATGTTCCCCTTGAAAAGGAAGCGTTTCTGCTTCTCCTCTTTCCGGTCCTTGACAGTGATTCCGTGCATCACAAACACACACGCTCCCTCAGTTACACGAATCACAAACACACGCTCCCTCAGTTTTGTGCATCACAAACGCACACGCTCCCTCAGTTTTGTGCGTCACACACACGCTCCCTCAGTTTTGTGCGCCACAAACACGCGCACTCCCTCAGTTATGTGCGTCACAAACACAGACGCTCCCTCAGTTTTGCGCATCACAAACACACACGCTCCCTCAGTTATGGACATCACAAACACACACGCTCCCTCAGTTTTGTGCTTCACAAACACACACGCTCCCTCAGTTATGGACATCACAAACACACACGCTCCCTCAGTTTTGTGCTTCACAAACACACACGCTCCCTCAGTTATGGACATCACAAACACACACGCTCCCTCAGTTTTGTGCTTCACAAACACACACGCTCCCTCAGTTATGGACATCACAAACACACACGCTCCCTCAGTTTTGTGCGTCACAAACACAGACGCTCCCTCAGTTTTGCGCATCACACACACGCTCCCTCAGTTTTGTGTGTCACAAACACACACGCTCCTTCAGTTTTGTGCTTCACAAACACACACGCTCCCTCAGTTTTGTGCATCACACACACATTCCCTCAGTTTTGTGCGTCACAAACACGCGTGCTCTCTCAGTTATGTGCGTCACAAACACAGACGCTCCCTCAGTTTTGCGCATCACACACACGCTCCCTCAGCTTTGTGCTTCACAAACACACACGCTCCCTCAGTTTTGTGTGTTACAAACACACACGCTCCCTCAGTTTCGTGCATCCCAAAGACGATTCCTCAGTTTTGTGCATCACAAACACATATGCTCCCTCAGTTTTGTGCGTCACAAACGCGCGCTCCCTCAGTTATGTGCGTCACAAACACAGACGCTCCCTCAGTTTTGCGCATCACACACACGCTCCCTCAGTTTTGTGTGTCACAAACACACACGCTCCCTCAGTTTTGCGCATCACAAACACACACGCTCCCTCAGTTGTCAGGGGACTTTGCACTGTGCCTTTGCATGAAACACCATGGCTTGAAGAGGTCCCGCATCGTTAGGGCCCCCTTGCCCATGGTGTGGCGTCCCCTGACCGATTTAGCCGTTATTGAGAGACAGCCAGGTTGCTTTCAACGTTTTCTTTTTCACAGACAGTGGTGCCAAAGGCGTCCTTGGACATGAGTCGTCTCCCAGTGGGTGAGCACATCTTAGGGCAGATTTCTGAAGGAAGATGTGCCAGGCAGAGGGGGTCTGAAGTTTTAACTTTGAAGGGCGTATTGTCACACTGCCCTCCACAGAGCTTGTACCACGGAGGTGGTGGCAGTGTCTTGCTGCCCATGCCTTCCTAATGTGTGTGTTGTGAAGTCTCTCGTTCTTTCTTTTTAAAAATTTATTATCTTTAATTTTTTAAAATGTAGAGACAGGGCCTCACTATGTTGCTCAGGCTGGTCTCGAACTCTTGGGCTCTAATTTTTGTATTTTTAGTAGAGACAAGGTTTTGCCATATTGGCCAGGGTGGTCTCGAACTCCTGACCTCAAGTGATCCGCCTGGCTCGGCCTCCCAGAATACTGGGATTACAGGCCCTTGACCCATTTTTCTTATTGTGTTGTTGGATTTTGTCTTATTGATTTGTACGGGGCGTTTACATATTAAGGAACTTACACCTACATACTTGCAGATATTTTTTTCATTTTTTTCTTAAAAAATTTTCTTTTGAGAGACAGAGGTCTCACTGTGTTGCCCAGGCTGGTCTCAAACTCCTGAGCTCAAGGGATCCTCCCATCTCAGCCTCTCAAGCAGCTGGGTCCACAGGTATGTGGCACCACCTCCCCTGGTTTGTTATTTGACTTTTGTCTTTGCTTAAGGAGTTTTGCCATAGAGAATTTTCTTTTTATTACATGAGGTAATTAATCTTTTTCATAATATCCCCCGTCCCCCATGCTTTCTTCTAGTACTATTTAAATTAAAAACTTTTAAATCTTTTTAAATCTATCCAGGCTTTATTTTGGTATAAGAGCCAAGGTCGTGATTGATTGGTGTCAGTTAGCATCCATGGAGGAGACAGATGTCACCCTCAACTTGGGAAATTTGAGGAGAGATGAATAAAGGGACTAAGATGTGGTTGGCATGTAGAGAAACCACTAAGGCTAATGCTGGGTGGGACCCCTCAGGCCTCGGAGGACACAGGGAGGCTGCAAGGGAGGTGGTCCTGCAGGAGCAGAGACCTGGGTGTGGGGAGACTCGAGTGCAGGACCCTACAGGGAGGGCTGGGGAAGCAAACACCCACTCCCAGTTGGCTCCCTGCAGGCCAGTCCCACCCAGCAGCCCGGAGTCAGGCAGCCGCAGGTGGCCCTGCAGGTCACAGAGGTGGAAAGTGGGGTGGGCCAGATGCTGGACAGGTGCAGCACAGGACGCTGGGATGAGCTTTGCCAGATGTGGCTCCATTACTGAACCAACAACAACCGACTTGGGGGATGGGCACTTCCAGAAGCTCCCCAGGGCACCTGGACTCAGCCCCCAGGGGTGCAGTGTGCGGTTGGGTGTTGGAGGCCTCAGGTCTGGGCCTAGTGGAGGCCAAAGGGTAGGGCCAGTGTGGAATGAGCTGACCACAAGCTGTTCTAGACAAGGCTGTAATCTGCCTTTGTGACCCCAGGGCTGTCCATGGGGAGCTCTGTGGACCTCTCAATGTCAGCGTTTTGGGGTAAGGGTGGGGGTCAGGTGATGCTGGGATAGATGGGGCAGGGTCTGTGGGGGTGGGGAGGGCCGGGGAGGCTGTTGTCATTCATTCATCCAGTGCACACGGGTGAAGCCCTGCTCTAGCCACGCCCTGGAACAAGGCCATGAGGAATCAGACACTAGCGGTTACTTTTAACGAGCACCTACTGTATGCAGGTTCCTTGTGTTGACCTTCAGGAGCTCATTTACTACTCACAACAACCCTGCCGTCTAAGTGAGGAGACTGAGTTTCAGAAAGGTTAAGTAACCTGCCCGTGGTCACACCGAGCTGGGATTCGAACGCGGGACTGGCTGACTCCAGGCCTCAAGCTGTGTTCTGCTAAGCTGTGCTGCTGCCTCTGGGAAGTCTCACAGAGATGAAGGCCAGCCTGTCTCCACTTTTGGGGAATTCACCCTCCATTGGGTGGGCAGAGGCCTCATTATCAAATAAGGACAGCGGAGAGATTCGTGCTGAGCCACATGCGCTGTCCTGCACTCACCCATTCTTGCGGCACGGGAACTGAGCACGTATGTTGAGCTCCTGCCAAAAAGTTATGATGCTTCTTTTTTTTTTTTTTCTTTTTGAGACGCATTCTTGCTCTGTTGCCCAGGCTGGAGTGCAGTGGTGCAGTCTCGGCTTACTGCAAACTCTGCCTCCCGGGTTCACGCCATTATCCTGCCTCAGCCTCCCGAGTAGCTGGGACTACAGGCACCTGCCATCATGCCTGGCTAATTTTTTTTTGTATTTTTAGGAGAGACAGTGTTTCACCATGTTAGCCAGGATGGTTTTGATCTCCTGACCTCGTGATCGGCCCGCCTCGGCCTCCCAAAATGCTGGGATTACAGGCATGAGCCACCGTGCCCAGCCAAGTTATGATGCTTCTTGACATAAAATCTTTAAGCATTAAAACAATATTAAATCATAAAATCAGTATAAGAAAGTCTAAAACATTGCAGATTTTCCTGAGGTCAACTTAAACACTTAAAAAAAAAAGCCAAATTCTTAAAACAATTGTTTTTGGTGTCCTGCTTTGATGGTTCCCTAAACACTTGCTCTGACTATTAGAAATTCTGTACCTGGGTAGCTGGGGCCCCCGTGGAGAGGGAGCAGCTCGCCCAGTGAGAGAGGCTTGGCCATTGTCCCGCAGGGACTCTGCTGTTGGGGGAGCGGGCAGGGCATGTGCAGTGTGGGGTGTGGCATTCAGAGGGAGTGGCCTCCACAGCCCTGTGGCCGGGGTAGGGAGCCCAGGGGGGCCATCCATGTTTCTCTTGAGGTACCTGGCAGAAGGCGGGTGGGGGGGTGCGGGGGGTGGTCCTTGACAGCAGAGCAGAGAGAGATGGTGGTCAGAGGCCCAGGCGGGCTCCGATTAGGCCCAGGCCAGGGTCCGGGATCCATAGGAACCCCTCGACCACCAACAGGGCCTTGAGCACCCTGGCCAGGGCGGAGGTAGTCCAGGACAGAGGACAGTTCTGCCAGTGGTGAGTGGAATTTGGGTTAGGGGTAGGGTTAGGGTTAAGTTCAGGCGCTTGGGAACAGACAGTGACCAGGAAGCCTCCGGCAGCTGTGGGCCCCAGGGCTGACCTGCTGCTCGTCCTGCTGCTCGTCCTGCCCCGTGCTCCACCGTCCTGGTTTGCCCAGGTGAAGGGGTTTCCAGGACTCTCCGTTTTAAAACCAGCACAATCTGGGCCAACTGGGACACACTGGTCACCTTGCTAATGTGTCCCTGTTCCTGAGGGGGAAAGCGGATAGGCAGTTGTCCCCCAGGGCCCAGGGAAAGAAGCCAAGGCAAGGTGCAGACAGATTTCCCTGCCCCAGACTAAGGGAGCTGTGGACAGAGGCCTTTGCTGGGAGGTGCTGGGTCCTTTCCTCCAGGCAGCGCTGGGATTTGGGCCCCGAGACCTCGTGTTTCTCTGACCCAGGGAAGAAGCCTCTGTCCACTCTGGGCCTTGCCCTTCTTTTGTTTTCCTTGGTGGAGGGAGGGAGAGGAGGTCGCCAGCACTGTTTGCCCGAGTGAGGCTCATTTCTCCTTTGTCTGCACAAGGCTGGACTGCCCTGCATTTTCATGGTAAGTTTGTTTCTTCAAGCCGTTGTTAAAATCCTGGAGGCAGAGAAAATGCATTTGCTCCATCACCTTCCCTGAGGTGACAAGTCCTATAAAACCTGTTAAAGCCTTTAATGAAATCCCTGCTCAGAGCTGCTCTGTGAATGAATGTGGAATCAGAATTTAAATTAAAATGTTGCTCTTGTTGTCTGGAGGCTTTGCCTGGGAAGAAATGAAAGGGGCAGCTCACCTTTCTGCCACCGTTCTCAGGCCGGGTGGGCGCCATGACTAGCCACCCTCTGACCCAGGGCTGGGGGCCCACCTGTGACTCACGGGCTGGGTCAAGATGCTAGCTGGATTTCAAGGCAGTGGCTCTCCCCACACCTGAGACTGTCCCTGCTGCAGGCCCCACAGAAAATCCCACTGAGGGGGAAGGTGGGTGTGCCTGTGGACCAGGTAGCCACTTGGGACTGGAGGTTTTATGTACTCAGAAGCAGAGTCAGTCCCTGAGCTCACAGGCTGATAGCAGGGGTGTGGGCAGACAGCCGCCCTGGAAGAGGAAAGAAGAAAGTGAGAGCGACTAAGGGGCTCTGGGGTGTGTGAGTGGGTTGGTGCAAGGTGGAAAGGAGGCAGGGAATGTCTTCCCAAATGAAGGGAGCAGGTGGGAGGCCAAGGCAACGGGCATGAGGCCTGGAGGCCTCGTGGCTTGGCTGGGGGCAGTACCAGCCCCGCTCCTACCTGTTCAGCCTCCCCGCTGCAGCTCTTCCCTCTTTCCTTCACGGAGTCCTGCTCTTTGGACTTAACACACTCAGGAGTCTGTTGTTAAAAAACAAACCAAAGGCTCTCTTAGCCTCGACCCCATCACAGCCAAGTTCTGGAGAGCTCTCTGCTCCATCTCCTCTTGTCTCCCCCTCCTCCTCCCTCTCCACTTCTGCGTGTCCCGGAGAGACAGAGACCCCCAGGCACCCTTGGCTGGTGGGAGAGACAGCACAAACATGAACGGCTCACGGGCCGCACATAGTTGCCTTCACTGCGGGGCGAGACACAGCTGTGTGGAACCGGCCCAGGCCCTGAGAGGTGCTTTCCTCTCCTGTTTTCCAAGTTGGCAGTGCTACCCTATTTCTTCTATGATGAAAAGGAACTCTAAAAGCATTCAAAACATTTAAAAAGTGTGTGTAAGAAGTGTTTTCATCCCTGCATAGATTACCTCCAGTGAAAAATCAGCTATGCTCCCCCCCTGCCACTTAAAGTGCTGTGAAGCTGTTGCAGGGAGGGCCCCGGGTCCCAGGAGGAGGCCAGGGGACCCTCGGGGAGGGCAGGGAAGGTGCTGCAGGGAGGGCCCCGGGTCCCAGGAGGAGGCCAGGGGACCCTCGGGGAGGGCAGGGAAGGTGCTGCAGGTGGAGAGACTTCGGGACACGTGGCTCTGGGAGCAGGTGCAAAGGGTTATAGCTGAAGGAAGGAGAGGAGCCATAGCTGATTATTCATTGACGGTAATGCTACACAGGGATTAAAATCTGTCAACTTGAATAAACCTTAAGAATAAGGCTGAGGCGGGGCGCGGTGGCTCACGCCTGTAATCCCAGCACTTTGGGAGGCGGAGGCGGGCCGATCACAAGGTCAGGAGATGGAGACCATCCTGGCTAACATGGTGAAACCCCCGTCTCTACTAAAAATGCAAAAAAATTAGCTGGGCGTGATGGCGGGTGTCTGTAGTCCCAGCTACTCGCGAGGCTGAGGCAGGAGAATGGCGTGAACCTGGCAGGCGGAGCTTGCCGTGAGCCGAGATCGTGCCACTGCACTCCAGCCTGGGTGACAGTGAGACTTCGTCTCAAAAAAAAAAAAAAAAAGAATAAGGCTGAAGCTGGTAGGGCGCAGGGTGCGTGCCTAGATTTAGTCCCAGCTACTTGGGAGGCTGAGGCGGGAGGATTGCTTAAGTCTGGGAGGTTGAGGCTGCAGTGAGCTATGACTGTGTCACTGCACTCCAGCCTGGGTGACAGAGCGAGACTCCATCTCTTTAAAAAAAGTTGAGCTATAAAAACAAGTTGTAAAGGGTTTTGTTCTGTATGATCACATCAATGTAAACTGAAAAAAATAGTATGTGTTGTTATTGGATGTGTATGTAGATACAAAAACTGTGAAAACATGCAGGGAGATGATACAAACCAATTTCAGAGATGCCCCCGCTGGGGAGGAGGGCACAGGACAAGCATTCTTCATTGTCTGTCTGACAGTGTGTTTTGAATGCGTGTTTGAATATTTTCATGCTTAAAAAGTAAACAACAAAAGATGATGGGAGATAGGATGAGGAGGCAGCGTGCTGAAAAGGGTCCATTTCTAGGTGGCGAAGAGAGTGAGTTGGGGCAGTGGGCTGGGCAGAGGGAGGGCTTCGAGGATTCCAGGAAGAATTCTGTAGGAAAAGGAGCCAGGCAGAAGGGTGGGAGAGCCACAGGGGCTGGAAGCGGGGTGGTACTTCCAGGAACCTGAAGCCCAGGTGAGGACAGGTGCTTGTGCCATGCCACCGTGGGGGTGAGAACTTGGGCAGAAGAGGCCGTGTGTGCCGAGGGAGGGGTCGGGAGAGGGATGAAGATCTGAATTGAATGGATGCTGAGAGGAAGCTTAGTCATGCATCGCCAAAGACGGCTCATGGAGTAAATAGAGCACTAAAGGCTGGCTCACTCGCGGAGAGCTGTTTCCTGTGGCTCAACAAGTTTATAATAAACACAGTTAAACTTTTATTTATGGCACAGCTGCTAATTGCACCATAAACACTTTTCATCAGGCAATTGCTGTTTACTCATTTGCCAATCAGCTCATTATCCAGCTACCTCTCCTTGTTCCTGCCTTCCCACTTCCCAAATCCTACTGCTTCTAGGGCGTCCCTCTGCAACTGTACCCCCACCCAACTGCCTGGCCTGACTCCTGGCAGGTAGGCCCCCTCTCCAGTCCGCCCAGGCTTTGGTAGGTGTGCCTGCCCAGGCTAGGCTCTGTTCTGCTGCTGACCATGGCCAGCCCCGACTGTCCAGCATCCTAGTGTTTGAGGCCCTGAACAATGCCCCTGCTGGGCTCTCCTGACCACTCTTTTCTCTGGCTCCCAAACCTCACGGCCCCTGGGGATCCTCGCCTCCCTCTTTTCCTGCGTTTATCCCAGCCCCACTCAGCATGCCCAGAGGTCTCCCCACCCATCTCTCTCCTAGACCAGGGGTTACATAAAACTTAAGCCAGTGTTCCTGAGGGTCCTTCCTTTCCTTAAGAGGGAGCGTGTTCCGAATACTCAACTCCTGCCGCTTGTTTGCTGGGTTCAGTGTGGCCCCTCGCTCACCATTACCTCGCAGAGCACTGAGACAGAGCTTACACTTACTCATACCTTGGTTCATTGGTTCACCCGACCATGGCCACCTCCACACAGGTCATGGTGTGAGTCGCCTCCCCCCATGTTCCCTCTGCAGAGCTGGCTCCAGGATGAGCCTGAGCTGGGAGATCCTCTGGATGGAAGGAAGTTCCACCCTGTATCCAGTTACTGTGACACCTGCCCCCCTATGAGCTAACAGGCCCCCAGGTGGGTGGGGACCAGAGTCTTAGGGTGTGTGCTCTGTGTGCTCTGCAGCACCCACTTTGCAGACATCAGCGTTAGCGGACATGTGTGTGAGTGAGAATGCTCCTGTGAGTGCATGCATGTTTAGGTGAGTGGGCATGTACATCTACGTGTGAATGGTGTCTGCATGTACACACATGCACAAAAGTATGTATGTGTAAACGTGTGCATATGTGAATGACATGTATATGCTCATGCAGATACGCTAATGTGTATGTACATGCGTGCATGTGTGTATGTGTAAGTGGTATATGCATGTGTGTACATGTAGGTTTTTGTGAATATACAAGTGTATATGTGCACATAAGCAGTGTGTATGTGTGCATGTGTTTGCACATGTGAGGGGTGTGCATATATATATGCATGTATATGCATGTGGGCAGTGTGTTCACATGTGTATATGTGCATGTGTGCATGTGTGTGCACATGTGAGGGGTGCGTGTATATATGCATGTATATGCATGTGGGCAGTGTGTTCACATGTGTATGTGTGCATGCGTGTGCACATGCGAGGGGTGCATGTATATATGTGCATGTACTCACGTGTGTATATGCATGTGGGCAGTGTGTTCACATGTGCATATGTGCATGTGTGTGCACATGTGAGGGGTACATGTATATATGTGCACATGCATGTGTGCATACAGCTATGCACATTGTGTGTACATGCACATTGTGTGTACATGTGTATATTTCAGGATGTGCATATGTGTAAAAGTTGTGTACATGTAAGTAATGCATGTGTGTGTGCATGTGTTCAAGTGATTTGTGTGTGCATATGCTACACATGTGTGCGTTCATGAACATATGTGTGTGAGTGGTGAGATTAAGTGTATGTGCACAGAGGCCTCAGACTGAGTCTGATGGGGGTCCCTGCTAGCTCTGGAGAGAATGTGGTAGCAGGGCTGAGGCCCTTGTCTTCAGCTGAATGAGTCTGCCTGGCGTGCGCTCAGTGCTCTCCCGCTCTCCTGCTTCTCTTCTGAGGTCAGTCACAGACCTGGACATCCGGCTTGTGGGGGGTATTGAGTTGCAGTGGCTGTGTGTGCTTTTGTATGTGAACACATGTGCTCATGTGTTGCATGTGTGTGGTGTGCACTGTGTCTGGATGTGATCATAGGCAGCATTTTGGGGTATTTTTGGGTGTCAGGGTACTCACTGGGGGCATTGAAGATGCAGTGGCAAAGCAGGTGTCCAGGAGTCTGAGCTCAGACTTGACTTTCTGCCTGGGTCAGCCTAGATTTTCTACATGGAAGTGAGGTGAAAGGGAGAGGAATATTTGGGAGCCCTTCTCTGTCCCTTAGGTCCCTAGGAGCCCAAGGATGGTGAGAGGGCCCAGCCCTTGGTTTTTGATCTATTTGAGAGGAACCGAGTAATCTTCTGGGGTCTGCTCTTGGCTTCTTCAGTACAGTGAAATTAGCTGAGCAGTTCCTCTGGGCAGAGCCTCTGCTAACATTCCTTTGAAGCCTCCCTCCATGCTGGGAATCCAGCAATGTCCAGTGATAAGCTTGGGAGGAGGACATACTTGCAGTGGAAGAGACACCATGCCTGTCCCACCAGCCCCTTCACTTTTGGGGTCAAGCATTATTAGAGCCCTGCCAATGGATTGTGTGTGTCGTGACAGATGTCAGCTGGGAGGAAAAGACACTGGGCCCCTCCTGCACAGGGGCCTTATTTCTAGAGAAAGGGAAGACTGAGGTGCAACGTGGGCCTGTGGTTAGGGAGACTGCATTCTGAACACCGTGGGAAGAATGCTAGAAGCTCTCAGCCTCTGCCTTCCTCTGCCATGCTCGAGCTGGTCAGTCATGGTCCCCGAGGCCCTACAGCAGCCTGCAGGGATCAGGGCAGCAAAGGTGCTGCAAAACCAGCAAGACCAACAGGACTGTACAAGACCGGTGTTCCACGGCGACACCTTGTGGTTGCAATGGCAGCAGCACTGCCTGTGGAAGGACAAGGCTCTCCTGCAGCTCCTCCCTACCAGGCTTTGGACTAAGCCTCCAGCATTTTTGGACAGTTGGCATGCATGTTGGAGGAGAGTACTTGAGAAGGAAATAATGGGCTGGGTGCTAATAGAGGATTTGGAGGCTCACACACTAAATGGGGAAGGACTCATTCATACCCATTCCTTCTTCCGAAATGTCTCCTTCCATGTCCTGCCCTCGTACCCATTCCTTCTTCCGAAATGTCTCCCTCCATGTCCTGCCCAGGCCTGCTCTTTGGGTCTCCTGGCTGGTGGGGGAACAGATGTGGCGTAATCACGTCGAGATGCAGCAGGTGCACCAAGCACTGTGCGCACCGCTGTTAGCCCCAGGACCCCCAGTGTCAGCACTGGTGGGGCTGGTGTTTGTGGAGTGTGTCAGTGGACTGGCAGGCCCGTGGATTCCACGTGTGTAAGAGAGACTGACAGCCCTTCCTGTCTCAGAGCAGCCCCTCCTGGGTCCCATCCTGGGTCCCATCTTGGGGTTGGACATGCCCTTGTTTGAGCTTGGCCCCTTCTTGCTGGGCCACCAGCCCTGACCCTAAATCTGAGAGGGGGCTTGGCTGGGCCTGGGGTCAGGGGACAAACAGCCACCCTGGCTGAGGCCCTGGGCAGCTGAGGAACTTCAGCCAGCTTTGGGCAGCTCTTGGGTTGGGAGATGGGCTGCTGTTTTCTCGGACAACGCCCTCCCCAGCCCCTCAAGACTCTGTTTTCAGTCAGTTCAATTAGTACAACTTTAAAGCAATTAGGGAGAATTAGTGGCCAGGCTGCTGCAGGCAGATGCTGAATACACTCATGCCCCCTCCCCCAACCTCCCTCACCGAACCTGACAGCTGCTGCGGGGAGTGCCTTTCTCTGCTGGCTCTGTCCTTTCTCCCAGAGATCCAGCCCCCATCTCTCCTTCTCTCAAGGGTCTGAGGAGGGGAGGGTGGGCAGTCTAGGGGACAGACCCAGAGACAGGGGCCCTGGGACTGGGAGGGTGGGGCAGGCCCGGGGAAATGGGCCAACTTCCCCTCAAGACCCCAGGCCTGGGCCTGCTCTAAGGAGAGAAGGGATGGGTGCTGGTTGGAGGCTCAGCCCCTGAGTGAGGGTGAGGGTACTCAGCGCGGATTGGGAGGACTGACCAGGATTGTGGCCCAGCCTCTGGCCCTGTGGCCTCCAGGAGCCCCCAGCTCTGGTGAGGGCACCCTTTGGTGGGGCTGGGGGCTGTTCTTCAGTGGGAGGCCTCTGAGAGGCTGGGCCTCTCCCACTAGGTGTGGGGTGGCAGCGAGGCCCTGCTTCTGAGCCAGTGCTGGAGCCACACCACCTTCTCTGCCTGGTAGTGAAGGAGGTGGCCCCGTGGGTGCTGCAGACCCTGGGCCCTCCCTGGTGCCCCTTGGGCTGCTCTGTGGGGAGAGCTCCAGGTGCTTGCTTGCGTGGATGGGGCACCAGGGCAGGTGCAGGGCTGACTTCGCAGATGGAGCCCTTTGTGCGGGGACCCTGTCTTCCGGCCTTGCCCCTCCCTACTCCCCCAGCTTCTCAAAGAAGGTCTGTTTTCTGAGCCTCCTCTGTGATGCCCCCACCAGCCGCAGCCTCCCTCAGATGTGTGGGGGGTGTCCGCGGTCCTAACCAATGTCTTTTCTGCATGTGTCCACGTGTATCTGGCACTTTCTCTGAGCAGGCTCTGGGCTCAGCACCGGGTAAGGCAGATCCATGCAGCCCCTCACCTTGGCCGAACACTGAACAGATGATGACATGTACTTGTGCAATTCCAGCTTCAACAAGGGTCACCAGAACAGCTCTGAGCAATTCCAGCTTCAACAAGGGTCACCAGAATTGCTCTGTGCAATCCCAGCTTCAACAAGGGTCACCAGAACAGCTCTGAGCAATTCCAGCTTCAACAAGGGTCACCAGAACAGCTCGGAGAAGGGCTGTGACCCGGTCTGAAAGCTTCCCAGAGACTGGCTTAGCGGGATGACCCTGGGGAAGGAGATAGTGGGTGGAGCAGAGAGGCTGATTAGAGGCTGAGTCTTTATACGGAAGTGATGGTGCCCTAGAGGCACAGGAGGGAGTGAGTGCTGCCAGTGGGGCAAGGAGGGGCGGCTCCACCTGTGACCCTAACCCTAACCGCGTAGGGAACCTTCAGTGGGCCCATGATGGTGGCCCAAGCACACGAAGGTGTCTGTGCTCTGTGCCTTTGCTGAGCAGTGCAAGTCTGGGCCCAGGGGCTTCCCCTGAGGAGGGGAAGCCAAGGGTGTCCACGAAAAGAGTCAAACTCTGTAAAGTATTTGAAGAGATTTATCCTGAACCAAATACGAGTGACCATGGCCCATGACTCGGCCTCAGGAGGTCCTGGTGACATGTGCCCGAGGTGGTCGGGACACAGCCTGGTTTTATACATTTGAAGGGTGACATGAGACATCAATCAATATGTACAAGATGTACATTGGTTTGGTCTGGAAAGGCAGGACAACTCAAAGTGTGGGCTTCCAGGCCATAGGTAGATAAGACACAAACAGCTGCATTCTTTTGGGTCTTTGATCAGTGTTTCACTGAACACACAATTTACATGTGAGAGGGGGTAGAGAAATAGTCACTTATGCCTTAGGCTGACTCAGTGAATCTGCATTTTTACATAAGCAGTAGGGCAGAGGAAGCCATCGGATGTGCATTTGTCTCAGGTGGGCAGTGGGATGACTTTGATGAGTTCTGCCTGTCCATTGTCCCGCACCTGTGAAGGGAAGCTATCCATTTACGTTGCCAGGGTGAAATTCAGCAGAACAGTTTTAGGGCAAAGATCTTGAAGCCCAAGAAGAGTTTCTCTGTGGGGAAATTGTGAGGGAGGATGTAGACTTCCACACAATCCTTGTCACTATCTTATTCGGGAATAAAATGGGAGGCAGGTTGGCCTGACGTGCTTTGGCTTAGTGATTTTGGGGTCCCTAGATTTATTTTCCTTTCCCAAGTACTTATTACAAAGTAGCAGGCTTCAAACTTGGAGATCTCACAACCCCAAGTAACATTCTGTTAGAAACCATGGGACCACCCACACCGTTGCTGTGGACTACAAGCTCGTGTCACTGGCAGCTCAAAGTAGAAAGTATCAGACACCCCCCACCTCGGGGGACCTCTGTTTCAGATCTCAGGTGACTCTTCACCTTGAAGACATTCAGCTTAATCAAAACCTCTTTTCTGACCCTTTGTGCCAGCCTTCCTGGAGGGGGCTCCCCAAAGAAGGGTCTACTTCTTGTCCCCTACCTCCCCACATCCGCTAAGGGCTTCTACACAAACACAGGATGAAATGAGAGGAAGGTGGCCACCGGAACGGTGCTTAATGGCCAGGATGTTCTCTCCCTGATGTGTGCTGTTCCCATTACAGGTATTCACTTCTTGATGAAGCAATTTCCTATATAATGGCCCCACATGGCAGGCTAAATGTGGAAAACCACCAAATAGAGGCAGAAATATAAAGACACTTTGGATCATCATTTGCAGAAGGCAAAATAGCTGCAGGCAGCTTGTGGTTGAGACACTCAGTAATGGTACTGGCCAGGCACGGAAAGCATCCACAGACACAGCTCACAGGTGCAGCGTGGAGAATTCCAACCAGCCAAGGGGCCCAGGCAGGCCTCCGAGGAAGGACGCTTGACCTGAGACTTCCCCCTTATCATGGTCAAAGTGAGGGTGTCCCTGCTGGAGCCCCTGCAAAGGCCCGAGGGAGCCGGGACCTTAGAGTCTGGGGACTGCATACAGCCCACTTTGAGGAAGCCTTCTTGGTTTGAGGAGGGGGTTGAAGGGCAGCATCATGGACCCTGGGTTGAGAAGGAGGTGGAGACCAGCGGGGTGAGGGGCTCCACCTTGACTCAACTCCCTAGATGGCAACTGATGGGGGCTGGTCTAGAGGGCTCTCTCCTAGGTGAGGGGCTAGACCTGAAGCTCTTGTGCTTCCTCAGCCCTAGTCCCCTTCATGGGGACAGGAATGGTGTGTGATGGTGCATTCATAGATGTGCATGCACACATACAGGCATGTACATTTGTACACAGACATGCACACAGAAATGTGCATGCATAGGCCCACACAGCAGACAGGCACATGCACACAGGTGTGTACACAGAGATGCACACACACGTACACACAGATGTGTACGCAGAGAGGCACGCACATTCACACACAGATGTGTACACAGAGAGGCACACGCACATACACACACAGATGTGTACACAGAGAGGCACGCGCACATGCACACACGTGTACACAGAGAGGCACGCGCACATGCACACAGATGTGTACACAGAGAGGCACGCGCACACGTACACACAGATGTGTACACAGATGCACGCACACACGTACACACAGATGTGTACACAGAGGCACGCACACGCACACACAGATGTGTACACAGAGAGGTACGCACACGTACACACAGATGTGTACACAGAGAGGCACGCACACATGCACACACAGATGTGTACACAGAGAGGCACGCACACACACACAGATGTGTACACAGAGGCACGCACACATGCACACAGATGTGTACACAGAGGCACGTGCACATGCACACACATGTACACAGAGAGGCACGCGCACATGCACACAGATGTGTACACAGAGATGCACACATGCACACAGAAATGGGCATGCACATGCACACAGATGTACTCACATGGATGTTCACACACACACACATGCACGCAAACACAGCCCCTCTGCAGCTCTGCTGTCTGCCTCAGGTGGGGGCCATGCTGGGTGAAACTGTCATTTCTCCCTGTCTATAAGCTCCTGCCTTGAGGCTATGAAGACAAGAGGATGTGAACTGCTCTCTGGAGGCAGAAGACGTGGGTTCAAATCTTGGCTCTTCTCTGGGCCTCAGGTTTCTGGTCTGTAGACTAGGATATTGGAGTTTTACTCACGTTACTGGAGGGATGAGGGCCCTAAATCAGGAGCTGGGAACTGGTGCATGGTAAGTTGTGGGAGTGGAGGACTGTGGAGAAGGACAGGCCTTCCCTAGGTGAGGTGCTACTACTGTGGAAAGTGGTCTAGTTTCCCCTCTGCCCCTATGGGCACCCAGTGGAAGAAGCTGGTGGTCAGTGATGGGCGGACTAGTCCTGAGGTCCTAAGACTGGAGTGTCTGGATGATCAGTGTGACCTCTCAGAGAAGAGGTGCACACCTAGGGGTCTGGCTAAGGGAAGGGGAGGGTGTCAGTACAGGAACTGCAGGGACTAGGTCAGGCTGGGTACACAGAGGCAAGGACAGGGTCGTGAGGCTGGTGCTTGATGAGAAAAGCTCAGTCTAGACATCTGGGCCTAGGCCCCAAGAAGAGTGGGGATCAGGCCTTCATGGGTGGTGTTGGAGAGCCCTGAACAGGATGTGACTTGGTCTTCCCTGTGGAGAACTCAGGAGACTAGCTGGACCATTCAGGTATTTAAGGAGCAATGTCAGTGTGCCAGGAACTCTCGGGGAGCTTATATCCCAGTGGAAGAGACAGCTCACCTCTTTGAGCTTTCTGGCAAAGTCAAGGGTGCTGAGTGCTGTGTCAGGGCCATCCAAAGGTCCTGAGATGAGTGGGACTTGGAGGAGGTCAGTCAGGACCAGCCTCGTTGTGGGTGTTGAAACACAGGAGTATCTGTGTGGAGGAGGCCTGGGGGGCTCCTGGCAGGGAGCGGGGCGCAGAGGAGCACGAGGTCCTCAAGGTTCTCAGTGGTGGCATCAGGAGTGCCCAGGTCAACTTGTCCTGGGCAGAGGATGGGTTCAGAAGAGAACATCGGCTGTGTATCCTTTGTATCTTCCAGAGGTACACAGCCCTCCCCAGCCGCCCTCCAACCTCAGGACAAAGTGTGGGTGTGCGTTTGGCTCCTGCGTTCCCCTGTCTCCTTTGTCCACAGGATGCTCTTGGCTGCCAGGAGGTTCCCACTCCTCATCTTTCCAGGCCCGGGTCAGAGGCACTGAAGTCAGAAACAGAGGTGGCAATTCCAACCTAAAAGCACAAATTACAGACAAGTCTCCCTCCTGCAGGTTTCCATTTGCATCTGGCTTTTGTGTGGCACTAGAAGAGATCAGCTTTTTGCAAGCATGGGGCTGATGAACGCATTTGCACAAAGGGAGACGGCGGAGTAGCAGGAGTTTGCAAGCTGCTTCATTAACTTGGAGCCAGTGGAATGTCTGGGATCGTCTGTGATTTGGAAACCGGTGGCAGAATGTTCCCGCGTTTCTGGTCCTCATCAGTCAGGTAGGTTGAGGGGAGCCCAAGACGAGCTTGTGGCTGCAGCGAGGGTGCAGGATGGGTACACATCTCGGTGGTCCAGCTGGGTCTCAGCTACCTTGAATCTGACCCACGGGCTTTGTGTGGTCTCAGGGCTTGTGTGTGTGTGTTTGGTCCGCTGTGTACCTGGTGTGCACACATTGCCTGTCACGTGGGTCTCTGTTGGAAGCTCTTGCCCGTCGGTTCTTCATGTGGTGCTGTCGGACATCTACTGGTCTTTGAGCCTCCAAGTCTGTGTTGGCTGCTGCAGGTCGGGGCCTGGGACTTTGTGTACCAGTGACGTGGCCCCACTGAGGCCCCGTTCCTGACTCAGCCATGCTGTCATGGCCCTCAGAAAAGATCTATCATTTCTTTGATCCTGTAAAACAAGTAAATTCAGTCTTCCTGTGAGGCACGGTGATGATTCACTGGAATCATCCCAGTGTGTAAGGGTACTTCCTCCTGCCGGGACTGCCAGGCGGGACGGCTTCCTGCAGACTCAGAGGGTCCAAGGCAGGGTTTCCAAGCAGACTTTGCAGCTGGATGAGAGGAGGGGTCAGCGCACCTGCTTCATACAGAGACTGATGTGCCTGGGCCCAGGCAGGCCCGTGCTCCAAGCACCCTGTTCCTCAGGTGGGACAGCCTCATCTTCTTTTTCCTTTTTTTTTTTTTGAGATCGAATTTCACTCTGTTGCCCAGGCTTGAATGCAGTGGTGTGATCTCGGCTCACTGCAGCCTCTGCCTCCCGGGTTCAAGCAATTCTCCTGCCTCAGCCTCCCGAGTAGCTGGGACTACAGATGCACAATGCCATGTCCTAGTTTTTATATTATTCGTAGATACAGGGTTTCACCATGTTTGCCAGGATGGTCTTGAACTCCTGACCTTGTGATCCGCCCGCCTTGGCCTCCCAAAGTGCTGCGATTACAGGCGTGAGCCACCATACCCAGCCTGACAGCCCCTTCTTTAGAGCCGGTGCCTCGGGCTCCCAGGCTCGGGGTGGGGCTCACACCCCTCCTCTCATGATCTTGCTTATCCCTTGGGGTGGGGGGGGACCTGTGTCCTCCCAACCCCAAGCACACAGCTGTCACCCCAGGTCACCTCCTCTGCCTTTCTCCCAGCACCCTGCATGCTCTGGCCTGGGCAGCCCCCTCCCCCTGTGCCCTTGGTGGCATTTGCATACAGGTGCCCTTGCAGCTGAAGTGTTGGGGCAGGGCCAGCAAACCCACGCCCGAGAGGGCCAGTGGCTCTTGGCACAGGTGGTGGGACAATGGCCACTCAGAACACGGCTGCGCTCCCCTGCCGCCTCCTTGGGGCTCACACCTTGCTCGGTTTAGTCGCTGTCTGAGCCTTAGTTCCTGGTCATAACTGGGCTGTGCGGGGCTTGGGGCCTCATATGAGGAGGAACTGATGGCCTGTGTGTGCTGGCAGAGGAGGCGGTGTCATCCCGGCGGGTCTCTGCAGATCCACTGCACAAACACTGCATGTGTGTATGTGCAGTGTGTGTGTTTATGTAGTGTGTTTGTGTGTCTGTATATATGCGTGTGATGTGTATATGGTGTGTATGTGTGTTTGTGTTGTGTGTATGTGTGTGGTGTGTTTGAGGTGTGCGTGTATTTGTGTGTCTGTGTGTGTGTGGTATGTATATGGTGTGTATGTCTGTGTGTGGTGTGTGTGTGTGTCTGTGGGTCTGTGGGGTCTGTTTGATGTATGTGGTGTGTGTATGTGTGTGTCTGTGTGTGTGTGTGGTGTGTATATTGTGTGTATGTCTGTGTGTGGTGTGTGTGTCTGTGGGTCTGTGGGGTCTGAGGTATGTGGTGTGTGTGTGTTTGTGTGTGTCTATGTGTGTGTGTGGTGTCTATATGGTGTGTATGTCTGTGTGTGTGCCTGCATGTGTGGGGTGTGTGTGTGGGGTCTGTTGTGTGTATGTGGTATGTGTGTATGTGTGTGTGGTGTGTATATGGTGTGTATGTCTGTATGTCTGTGTGTCTGTGCATTTGTGGGGTGTGTGTAGGGTCTGTTGTGTGTGGTGGATGGAAGGGCCTCCCGGGGCTCTTGGATTTGGAGGGCCCACGCTGCTCTGGCCTGGGAAGGTGGGGTTATCTGGAGGGTATATTAGGCTGGGGTCCTGGGGAAGGTTCTGGGGCTCTAGGCAGAGCTCCTGGTCGGGTGCAGGCACATGGGCTTGTTGGGCAGTCCCAGGCCTTCCAGGCTCCATGGCCCGTGTTCCCTGTTGTTCTGGTGGGTGTGCCCTTTAGGCACCTGCCCAGGGTCCCCTGTGCCATCCCAGCTGCCCCAACACTGTGTGCCCCGGCTCTGCTCCTGGACCCCACGCCGCGTGCCCCGGCTCTGCTCCTGGACCCCACGCCGTGTGCCCTGGCTCTGCTCCTGGACCCCACGCCGCGTGCCCCGGCTCTGCTCCTGGACCTCCGCATGCCTCCTGCTCACTCCAGGGCAGAAACCTCCTGTCCTGGCTCTGCCTCCCTTTGAAGCCTAGCAGGGGACCCCTCTGGCCCTGGGTCTGTCCCTCCTGAGCTCTCATTTGAGGAAGGCACCAGTGAGGCCCTTCTTTGGCTCAGATCCAGCCTTTGGTGCCAGACGGTCCAGGGCGTCAGTCCCAGCTTTGTCTGGGAGCTGCGGGCCCTCGACCCTTCTGAGCCCACCTACAAGTTGGGAACAACATTGTGGACCCTCAGGGGACTAAAGGATGAAGCTGCCCTGTGCCCGGCACCAATAGGAGCATCCTCGTTCCTCCTCCTCAGGGGCTGGACCCATAGCTTGAGTGGCAGTGGGGACATCCAACCTGGCTTCCTCAGTGGGGTTTGGCCATGGAGGTGCTCAGGGTGTGCTTGTTGGAATGATGGGGGATCTCGCTCTGGGATCTGTCTCCTAGACCCTGTCCAGGGCTCCAGCTGCCCCTTCCCTCTCTGGGCTCCCAGCTGGGATGGGAGGGCCTTGGGCACAGGCTGTAGAGCCCCTGTGGTCGGCTCCCACCCCTCCCCAGAGTGCTGCATGTGAGGATGGGGACTGCCTCACTCAGGAAGCCATCCTGTCATCCCAGAGTGTGGTGTTGGCCTCGAACTGGCTCTTGATCTCCCATGTGGGGCATGGCTGGAACCATCCCAGGGTCAGTGTGTCTCAGGCTCCAGCTTGGGCATCTTGGGACAGAGACTGGAGGGGTGTTTCTCCCAACATGGCCAGGCCAGCGTGGCTGTCATCCTTGGACATCAGTCAGCAGCTGGCCAGTGCCTACCGGTTCCACCAAGCTCCATTCTTGGGAATGCAGGGCCCGGACATTCAGTCCAGAGACTTTCCCTCCCGGGGCTCTGCTGGGGGTGCCCCTCCCCATGAGCCCATCTTGACATTTGTGAGCCCTGCTCTGTCTGCTAATGAGCGATCTTCACCAGTCCAGCCTGCCATGGCAACCGCCCGCAGCCTCGCTCTCTGTCCAGGCACCCGGTAGCTTTATCTCCGAGGCCATCTGTTCTGGGAGCACAATTCCAAAGCCATTTAAACAGAGCCTGGAGCAGGGCAAGGCGCTGGGCCCTCTGTCCTCACACGTGTCTGTGCACACACTCAGGCACACACACGCACATGCACATGCTGATGTGGTGTGACCCCTGCAGGGTGGAAGGTGATGACAGGGACAGTCAGTGTGCCCCACCGGCTGCTCCCTTTTCCTGCTGTCACCGAGCCGGTTCCTGGGCACCCTGGTGGTCGGCCAGTCTGTGTCCTCCTCTCTTTCTCTGTGTTCCTCACCTCTCTGTCCATCTGTGTGTCTGAGCCGGCCTGGTTTCTGCCTCACCTCTCTGCCTGTGGGCCACCTCTCCCTCTCCATCCTTTGTCTCCTTTCCTGCCCCTGTCTGTGTCTGTCTCTGTGTTTAATCGCCTTGACCCTGGTCCCTGGACCCCCTCCCTGGCCATTGCCTCTGTTTCTTTGGCCTTTGTCTCCAGCTCGTATCTCTCCTACTGGTTCAGCTGCTTTTTGCCTTTGGCTATCGTTCTGTGCTGGTAGGACCAGGACATCAGGGGGTTTCCACCCCTGCCTCACCCTCTTGGATGCTCCTAGAACAGTCAGGCAGGGGCCTGTCCCTCACTGTTCTCCTGGTCCACTCTGGGCGCACCTGTCTCTCCTCCCCACTTTCCTCTGCCTCAGGGTGGCCAGGTCATGAGGCGGGTGGGGGGGCGGGGGTACTTTCTCGTACTGCTCTTAGCTTCCTGGGCCCAGTGCCCAGGGTAGTGCCTTCAGCCTGAGCTTCTTACTCTCCAAGCCCTTCACTCTGAGCTCCTCCCTCTGAGCCCAGTCCCGCTGTTCATTGAATGTGCTTCCGTTTCCCGCCCTGCGGCCTTCACTCATGCTGTGCCCTCACCCTTTCCTGGTCAGGCCTCCCTGTCAGGAGCTTCTGTCTCTCTCTCCACAGGGCTGGACAGATGCAGCATCCTGGGCTCAGCATGGAGCCTCCTGGCTTCCCCAAACCACGCATGGCTGAGCTTGCAGCCTTGTTCAGCTGACCCTGCCCTGCAGGCCCCTCTGAGCTCCACAGAGCGTTGACACCAGTCTGACTTCCAGGGGGATGGGAAGGAAGCCCCTCTGCAGCTGCTTCCAGTTCTTCCTGAGGCCTGGCCTAGGCTGCCCCTGCTGCAGGGAGCTGTCTCCTCTGGTGCCACAGCAGTCACGGTGACTTTGCCTTCTCCTGCCGGTGCCCCCAGCCCTCAGCTGTCTCTCCTCTGTCTTTCCTCTGTCCCCACATCCTTTGTCTCCTGGGCTGGGCTGTTGCTGAGGCTGCTGTGAGATGCACAGATCCCCAGGACCCTTGGGCTGGCCCCCTCAGAGGCTTGAGGGCCTGGTGACCTGGGTCCTCTGAGCAGCTTCTGTCCTCCAGGTCACTCTGCTGTTTCAGCATCCCCACAGCCCAGCCAACCCCCTAGGATGCCGCCTTCCAAGGTCATGGCCCTGGGTCAGGGCAGAGCAGGCAGAGGAGCCGTATGGGCAGACCAGAGGGGCTTCATAGGTGCCCCTGTATTGGGTGCCCTACTAAAGCAGAAACCAGTGCCAGCCTAGACAGCGATGACCAGCAGCCTGTGACCTCTGGAGCCCGGGATGTGTCCGGACATATCACGTCAGCCCAGGTGGCGCTGAGTGCTGGGAACCCAGCTATGGTGGGTGATGTCCAGACGGCTTCCCTTGGGTCAGCTGCAGCCCGGCTTCCTGTTGAGGGCAGGGAGGTACAGTGGCTACACGCAGCCCTGAGGGAGGCTGAGGTATTGCCACCTTCAATAGCCAGAGCTGCATCCCACACACGGGGCTGGACTCTCCCGGCTGTGGGGTGAGGCTGGGCCGCATGGCCTATGGCAAATGCCCCTCAAACCCTAATGCATCCACGGTCAACCTGGTGAGTTCTGACTCAGCCTGGCCAGGTTCCCCTGGAGCTGGCCCCCTGAGCACGTGTTGAGTTGGGGTGGGGGAGCTGGAGGGCCTTTCTCGAGCAGAACTTCAGAGAGGAGCGCTGGCCCTGTCTTTCCTGATTCTGAACGTGTCCAAGTCGTTTCATCACGTGATGGATTACCAGGCTGGTTGGTTCTACCGAAAGGCAGCAGCACAAGCTTTTCCTGGATTTCTCACCATTGTTCCTTTAAATAATCAGTCTTAATTAACTCCATCCGAAGAACATATTTTCCCCAAGGGTAGGGAGTCCCAGTCAGGTGGAGCAAGTTGGAACTGCAAACTGCATTTGATAGCTGTGGTGTTGGGAGGAGCCCCCTGGCTACTGCGAGGGGTGTCTCCGTGATGGGCGGGCAGATGGATCAGCACCAACCCCTGCTGGCACTTTCTGACATTTCTGTTGCCCTCATTTGATAGATCGGGAAACTGAGTCACAGAAAGGTTTGGCAATCTGCCCCAGGTCACTTCCCCTAAGCACAGACGTCCTTGTGGACGAGGAGAAGAGGCAGAACTCACAGGGGAAAACCCTTCTTCCACACAGCATCTGCTGTGGCCAGCTGCCCCCACCTGCCCCTGTCCCCACCTGTCCCTGTCCCCAACCTGCCCCACCTGTCCCCGTCCCCACCTGCTCCTGTCCCCACCTTTCCCATCTGCCCCTGTCCCCATCCTGTCCCCACCTGCCCCACCTGCCCCACCCATCCCTGTGCCCAACCTGCCCCACCTGCCCCTGTCCCCACCTGTTCCTGTCCCTACCTGCCCCACTTGTCCCTGTCCTCACCTGCCCCACCTACCCCTGCCCCCACCTGCCCCTGTCCCTGCCTATCCTTGTCCTGCCCACCTGTTCATGTCCTCACCTGTTCCTGTCCCCCACCTGCCCCTGTCCTCACCTGCCCCACCTGCTCCATCCCACCTGTCCCTGTCCCCACCTGTCTTTGTCTCCACCTGCCCCATCCCCACCTGCCCCACCTGCCCCTGTCCTCACCTGTCCCACCTGCCCCTGTCCCCACCTGCCCAACCTGTCTGTGTCCCCCACCTGCCCCTCTGGTCCCTGCCACCACCTGCCCCACCTACCCCTTTCCCCTACCTGCCCCACATGCCCCACCTGTGTCCCCCACCTGCTCCACCTGCCCCACTTGTCTGTGTCCCCCACCTGCCCCACTTGTCTGTGTCCCCCACCTGCTCCACTGGCCCCTGCCACCACCTGCCCCACCTACCCCTTTCCCCGACCTGCCCCACCTGTCCCTGTCCCCACCTGCCCCACCTGCCCCTGTCCTCACCTGCCCAACCTGTCTGTGTCCCCCACCTGCCCCACTGGTCCCTGCCACCACCTGCCCCACCTGACCCCGCCCCTCTTCTACCTTCCTGACCCCATCCCCTCCCCTCCCCCTACTTGCTCCACCTGTCTCACCACTGCCATATGCCCCTCCTGGCCCCACCTGTCCTACCTGTCTCCCCTGCCTCCAACCTGCCCCTCTTTTGCCCCCCACATGTCCCCCCTCCCCCCTCCTACCTCCACCTGCCCCACCTGTCTCCCCACCCCTACCTGCCCCTCTTGGCCTCCCACTTGTCCCCCCTGCACCCACCTGCTTCCTCCTGCTTCTCCTGCACGCTCACCAGCCTCTGAGCACCTTCACCCCTCGATGTTCTCTCCTCTAAACAAGATGACTCACCATTTATTTCCAGCCTAATCTCTGCCCCCAGCCTCAGCCTCCATACTGTCACCCTTGTTGACGGTGTCACCTGGTGACTAACAGGCGCTCAGACATCCCAGCAGAGCCAGCAACTCCCACAAATCTGCCCTCCTTCAGCGTCTCCCTCTCAGGGGGTGCTGCCGCCCACCTCATGGCTCTGGCCAGCCCTGGAGTCTCCTGTGGCCTCTCTGTCCCTACCACATCCAGACCCTCAGCAACCCGATTCATTCCTGAGGGGGTGTCCCAACTCGAATGCAATTCGTCACTTCTCTTGGGACACCCTTTACCGTCTATTGCCGCCCAGTAGCACTCACCATAGACCTCACTGAAGATGTAAATGTTAAACATTTTGCTCTTGGTCACCCAGCTGGGAGGGGCCGGTCAGGGGTCAGTCCAGATCTGCCTCCTCCAAAGGTTTGAACCCTCCATACTCCGGGCCTCCCCCTCAGTGCTGCCCTGGATGGGAGAGACTAGCCTGGACTTGGCCACGTGTTGGTAGAGGTAAGCCAGCATCACCTGGGCCTCCACCTGTCCCCTGCAGGGACAGACACCTGCAGAACCTGAGGACCAGGAGGTGACCCTGAGCTGCCTGGGGTGATGGGAGCTTCCCTCGGCATCAGGGGAAGCTGGCCCAGAGGACAGCCGGGCTCCATGGTGAGGCCAAGTTCATCGTTTCAAAGGGCCCCTGTGGGCAGTGAAAGGTCGTGGGCCCAGTTCGAGGGACTAGGAATCATTCTGGAAGAGGCCTCTGCAGTGCCCACCTTCACTCCCATCCACACACCCTGCCCCTCCCTGGCCCTGGCGCGGCTGTAGCTGCTGGAAGGTCCAGGTCCTTCTGGGCAGCCCTCTCTCCCTGCCCTTTCCTTCCTGCACACCCCACCCTCTGCCTGCAGGGCCTGAGGTTGTCGAGGGATTCTTGACTTCTACAGTTTGCCTCCCCCTGGCACCTCCCACCATACCTTGTGCCTGGGATCTGGTGGTGGGGAGTCAACCACACCAGCTGAGGGCCCTCAGGGGCCTTGTCTCAACAGGCAGTGATTGGGTTGTAGGGAGCGAGACCTGACCCCACTCATGCATCCTGGCTGGTTCCCCACCAGGTTTCAGGCTGGACCTAGTGTGGCAGTTCCGAGAGAGGAAGCGGGGGAAGGGATGCATCTTCAGGAAGGGCCCCCTCCCCTCACTCACTGTGAGTCCATTACTGTGTGGGAAGGGCTGTGTCTCTGCCTCCCCTCACTCCCCTTCCCTGGCCCTGCGGGGTGGGGGAGAGATTGTCTGGGGCCTGAGCCCATTGTGTGGAGAAGAGAGCCTCATTGGCAGGCAGCCGGGGCATCAATTTGTGATTATCTGCTCCCTGGTCTTGATTGGCTGGATGCAGTGGGGTCTCCCCAGGGCCCTGGGACACAAGTTTGTGCAGCAACTTTTTCCAGCATGAAGTGACGTGTGTTCCCAGAGAGAAGGTGCACCCCCTGGCCAGGATGACGCTCTGCGGGACCTTCCTGGGTGCGTACCACCCCCAGCCCCTCGCGTCCCTCCCTGGTCTGTTCACAAGTTTCTGCGAAGATGCCAAAGGGACTAATTAGCTGTGTGTGTCCCCCCCTCAGAGCTCAGTGCTCTTTTCTGGGCAGCCAAGGAGGTGACAGACATGCTCCCTCCTGAACAATGGCCAGGGCCCCTGGGGAAACAGCCACCTCCCCTTCTAGCGGATCCCGTGGCTTGCAGAAGTGCTGACGGCACAGAGCCCTGTGAACGCTGCCCTGCAGAAGGTTGGAGGTGGGAGGGCGGTGGGCAGGGTGTGTGCAGAGGCCAGCTGGGCCTTCTTTCTGTTGATTTACCTGCCTGGATCTGCCTGGCAGGCCATATAGCTGGTGGGTGTCAGGAGCCCTTGGCCTGGAGCAAGGCTCTGTGAGACTCTGTGAGAAGGTGGCAGAGAGAATGTGTGTGCGCGCGCGCGTGCGCGCGACAGATGTCCCCTGGGACTTAACTGTAGCTAAGGGGCTTTGGCCAGGGCCGCTGCTGCTTGCGTCCTCATCACACTCAAAGTTGCTGTGTGTGTGAGTGCACGTGTGTGAGTGTGCATATGTATGTGAGGGTCTCACAAACTGGATGCCAAATGTTTGTGAGCGTCTGCGTGAGTGTGAGACAGAAACACAAAGTCAGCCCCGAGTGTGGCGGAGAGTGGATCCCGGTTTTGTTTGCTCCATCTGCCAGGGCCGGCCTGGGGCAGCACCCCCGCCCTCAGCTGTTCTATACAATATTAATGCTCACCATCTCGGCCTCACACAACGGCCCTAATTGTCGTCTGCAGCATTAAGGCAGGCGCCCATCTGCGGGGAAGCTTTCAGAAGGAAACAAGAAAACCCTCACCCCCAGCTGGTCACCGGAGAAGGTGGTGCCAATTACAGATGCAGAAAGTTTAGACCAAAATTACTTGAAAGAGTTTTTATGAAGCAAATGAACTGACACTTGGAATGTCTGTGTGCAGATTTGCACAAGTAATTACACTTTATTTGAAATGATCTTACCAGCTAAGCGATCATTAAGCCTGCTCCCCCACTCACACAAAGCGCTTTCTCAGCGAGTGCGGCTGCGGCGTAAGTTTGGTTTTGCAAATCTCCCGTTTCCCTCCCCGTGTGGAGTCTGAGGACCCGCCAGTCAGACAGGAGTTATTTCCTGGTGGATCTTTCCAAACATATTATTAAAAAGTCACATGTGACTTTCCCACAGACTTTTATGAAATAAAACCCAAAGGAACAGCGTGCAACATGCTCAGTTATGGAAGAGAAAATATTTTATGATTTCAAAAAGTCCTGACAAATTTTCACCCTCTCTAAGAAAGGAAGCTTAAGACTATACCTTGCTGTTGTCACTTACAAGCAGGGATCTGTTGGGGTTTGGAATTCTCTGTCTCAGCCCGGAGCCCAGAGTTCAGCGATAGCTGAATACTGGTGCGAGCTCAGAAGCTTCCGTGTGCGGAGAACAAAGACTGAGGCGCTCTGGGGGGAGAGCGCTGTCCGAAGTGCTGATCAGACTTCGGATCCACCCACCGCTCAGGCCGCCTCCCAGGGGCTGAAGGGCGGCAGCCGAACCGGAGAGACGTGCCGGCGGCCGCTCTTCTGTCCTGCTCTTTTCCCTGGACTCCTTTGTCTTGACGGGGTCAGCTAAAGACTTCGAACCTTTACTCATCAAAGCTCATCTTCGGAAACTGCTCATAGCACTTTAACCTCCCGGTGGGAGCTCCCAGGGCGCCCTAGGTCCTGCCAGCAGGCACCGATTTCAAGTTTCCAGGCACATTCTGAATGCTCCTCCTGGCAGCGCCACAGAGGGTCTGGGGGCCCATTCCCGACCCCCGGAGCGCCACACCTCAGGAGGCCTGTGATTGTTCAAAAGGGGAAGTGAGAAATGCCGAAAGACTTACGTTTTCACAAATACAATTTCTATTACCTGAAAAAACTGTTGTGCCCCACGAAGCCCGTGTTGCGCAGGTTCATCTCTCCTGCTGCCACCTCCGCTTCGCTGTGGTTTCTTAGGTGTGACTGTTGCATATCTGAATTAAGTCGCTTTCATGAAACCTTGGGTGTCGTTGGGAAATAAGGCTGATTCAGCAACGGCCCTCCCTTTGATTCTGTATTCATCATGGAACAATGGCCCGCAAGCCTGCCCGGAGCCTGCAGCCTGCCGATAAGAGTTTAATAGAATTTCTGAATGCCGAAGGTTTGGGGTGTAAGACATCCTAGCACTCACAGCATGTCCAGAGGAGACAGAAACGGCTTTTCAGGAGTGCTCTCAGCTGAATGTGTCCTTTTATACTAATGGATATAAGTTTATGACAGAAATTAAAAATGGTAGGCAGTCATTGTGGAAACCTCGAACTGTTCTCATTTGACTAATTAATATTTCATCCTCAGTTTGACCAGTGCAGGCTTGCATTTATGTCCTTGTGCTCAATCTGAACAATTGCTCTGTGTGCATTTTGTGTTTTATTTGTTGAGGATAATGTGTGCGTATAAGAATCTAAGATACTTGCCTTTGGGGTGAAGCTTTTGGTTTGTATGTAACGTGTAAAGCACAAACTGTATGTTAAAAATAAGCCACTAAGATTTTCAAAACATGCTCTCTTAGAGAAAGCTGTGTTCAGTTCTGCCTCAGTCACACTTTTGGTGGCCCGAGCCCTTTAGCGCTAATTAAGTTGGGGTATTGTGCTCTTGCATAATTTACCAAGAAATGATGTTTACTGTCTGTTGAAATCTCTGCACTGAACTTCTGAGATGTGAGTTTTCTGCTTCTCCAGCTGCCCTTGGACGGCGGCATCTTTGCAGGCGTCTCACATTGAGTTTTCACCCTTGTGTTTCACAGTTTCATTTCTAACATCCTGATTATGATAATGGACAATCGTTTGCCTGATTTATCAGTACAAGAAGGAGATTTGGGCCGCAAACAAGAATACTCTGGCTCTTGAGTTCTCTTACTGAAGAAATTCCCACTTTATCCCTGAATGTGGGGGAAAATATCACAAACTGGCAGATGAGAAGGCAGACAGTCAGGCTGCATAGAGAGTGGGTGAGCACTTCTATTGTGTGTGTTATGGATTTTTCTCTTCTTGATTTTCACTGGATAGCTCCTTTCAGGCCGTTTATAAAAGAATCAGGAAAAGAGCAGAAAACTTGGGCAGTGTGCTTCGCTCTGGTTGCAATAAACTTAGTCTTTTTGTGGGGGGGTTCCCATGCCCAGGAATCCCTGAGTTCTCTTTGGGAAGGTTTTTATTATTGTAAAAATTAAAGTGAAAAGGGAAAGTGTGAGAACAGAAAAATGTCTTTTCCTGATCTATTCTTTGTGTGCATGACTCTATTTTTTGGTCTGTGGCTATAGTTACCTTTTATGCCGTTAAAAAATACATATCCATTTAAGTCAGGGGTACTTGAATATGCAGATGAGCCGATATGTAATATTCCTGGTTCATTTGAGTAATAAATTCTGCAGCCCGCTCTTTATGATGGTAGATCATATTCCTCACCACCAATAAATATTGTAAAGTACTTTCGCTGTAGCCATGCTAACCCGGGGCATCTGTCATTCCGGTTGCTGCTATTAGGAATTATTGGACTGAACCACTGGCAGAGAAAGCAGAGGGGGGTGAATGTGGTGGTTGTGATGCTCTCTGCCCTTTTGTGTGTTTTGCTTTTTAAAAAAACTCAATCATGCTGCACATTGAGTATGAATCAGTGTGGACAAACATAGGCACCTTCTGTTGGCCGAGGCTCAGAGCAGGACACAGGACTCCACCGGACTGGGACACCTCTCACCCCCAATTCAGCAGATCCATCTTTCTGATGCTATACTGTAAATTTATTTCACCTCAGAGAGTAAACAGATATATTGGAGCCCCAAGGGTTCATGGGTAGCGTATTTACAAAGGAGCCTCCTCCGCCAGCCCGTGCCACCGCTGCTAATGAGAGCAGTCATTAAGTAAATGAGACGTCGCCTTTAGCTGGCTTAGGAGTTCGCACACTAAGGGGAGAAGATATTTAATTGAAACCCGCACGCAGGCTTCCCCACATGTGACCGCTGTACGGGAGGCAGCTGCCTTCCCTCTCCTCCCCCAGTCCACCCTGCACCCCCCATGTAAATTTCATGATTGCTTTCCGTGATGTCATTTTGAAAGAGGACAGACAATAGCTGTGGGGAAAGGTAAGTCAACGTTACGTTCTTTCTGACAAAGGCAGATACCCAACGCTTGGCTTTTCCTCTTGGACAGAGACAGGGAGAGGGCGCGCGGGCAGAGTTAATTTCTAAGATGAAGGCTCTGTTTGCAGGAAAAGCAGGTCTGAGGATGGCTTTTTGAAACTGCTCTGGAGGACGGGGGCTTTCTTCTCCTCCCTGGCCTGCCGTGTGCTGTTTTTCTCCTGTCTCTCTGTTGTTCATGCTCCTCTGAGATTCCAGGGGACATGTTGTGCGTCTGACAGAGGAGACATTAGGGGAAGGGGAGCGCATATCAAAACCAGAAACTTTATGCGCATTTCTGGAAGAGGAACAACGGATATGTCTGTGGCCGTGGGACCCAGCAGCCCCGTACCTGGGGAGAGCACTGGCCGCTTAAGCAGAAGACCTCTCTGAAGCAGGGTCTCAGAGTCTGGGGTGTGTCATGTGTGACCCCCACCCAAGGTACTGAGGAGAGGTGCTCACGTGAACGTTTTGTCTGCATGTCATGCATTTCTCAACTTAAGGATCAATATCTAGGGTGCATGCGTCTGTGGGATAGATGTGCAGAAGTAAATATCGGCCGCTCCTCTCAGCCCCTTTTTTCGCTACGTGTCCGTGCAGCTGTGGAGTGTGGTTGTTTATGGTGGTAGTGTAACTGGATTTTTGTATTTAAAACTAAAAATCAGGGTTAGCTAAGAAGTTGAACACCCTAATGCCATTGTCTGTAGTTCTGGGGCCGTGGACTTTGGTTCTGTCTATTGAATTCACTTTCTTCTCTATAAACCAGGAAAATAAACAAGTGCTGGTGGCTTTGTGTTGGAGTGGTGGGTTCTCACTGCTCCTCCTGAGTCACCAAGGGCTTTGCTTGTCTCAGCATCACCTTTGAATCAGTGGACACCATTGGCTGGTAAAGTTGGGTGTTTAATTTTGGAAACCAAACATTTGCGGTGGTGCGGGGGGTTCCGTGGCTGCAGGTGGGTTTGGTCCTGGGCATGGACTCTGTCACGATGATGATAATGGCAGCGATGATTATAATTATCCTTTTGGGAGAGGTCGGTGGAGAATTTTGCCCTTGCAGTTTTTTTTTTTCTTTTAAATCACAGAAAACTGAGGACACCTCTAACGCCAGTGGCTGAGTGCACAAAAGGTGGGAGGGATGTGGGGCAGACCTGGGGGGGCCCACTCGGTGCTGAGGGGTATGCTCTGCCTCTGTCTCCTCTGAGGTGCCAGCAGAGCCTGTCCTGGCCTCACTCTGGCCTGGGGAGTGGGGGTGCTGTATCCTCTACAGGGCTGACTGAGGGAGGCTCCCCTCGGCCCCCAGCCTCCCTGCCACCCCGGGCTCCCCTCCCATTGGTCCTTGGCTGTGATTATCGCCTCCTTCCATATGGCCCTGTTAATTAACGGTAAACAAAAGAGTAAGAGAGCAGGGATTGGAGTCCTGTGGTACCAGCCAGGGTGCTGCTATCAGTAGAGGCAGGACCCTGCCCTGTCTCCCTCGGTAGCTGTTCCTTGTGCAGAGGAGGCTGGGTCAGGGCTTAGAGGGCAGTTTGTTTTCAAAGAGAAGGAGGCAGTCTTATGGATTCTTCTGTCCCGTAGAGACTGAGACTCCTACAGGGTCCCCCCGACCCCCTGGGCACCTGGACGTTTGCCGAACTTCCCAGGGGTACTTGCTGATCCAGGAGCTTGAGCAGGAGCCACAGAGAGTTGGACAAAGAGGCCTTTCTGCTCTGGAACAGCCTCGGCTCTGACCTCCTTGGGCCATGAATCCCTGAAGAGGGCCTGGTAGCCCTCTTCAGAGACCCGAGGCAGGGGGGCTGCTTCTGTCCAAAGTGCCACTCGAGGGTTTTTGTGACCCTCAGCCATTGCCCACAGATCTGGAGGTAGCCTCAGTTGTTCAGAGCTAATGCTCTGGCCCCTCTTGGAAGATTCTGGCAAAGGCAGTGGTCACCTACTCCCTTGAATGCCCCTGGTGCATGAGTGGGGAAACACTCTCTGAGATGACCCCTTCTAGCCATGTGGGATGCAAAGTTGCTCTGGTCTGGGGGTTGCAGCAGCCTCTACTTGGAAGCTCTGTTAGTGCCGGAGATGTCAGGGAGAGGCTGGCAGAGGGTATGCGGCCACGGGGGTGCATGCTGGGCAGCTCTGGCAGCTGACCAACGGCAGCCTGGATGGTGGCTGGAGCTTGGCCTGTCCCTGCTGTGGATGTGGTGGGCGCTCTCCCTGGTGCTGCTCAGAGACTCACTCCCTTCCTCTCTGGCCTGGGGTCACTGAATGTGCAGACAATGACATTTGTGGTGGTGTGGTGGGTAGAGGAGACCCACACCACTCTGCACTGGGGAGACAGGGGTCAGAGCCTGACTAACTGTCTTCCTGGTGCTGCTCAGTCTGGTGATGTCTGGGCCGCTTGGAATGCCAGTTTGCACAACCCAGTACTGTGCAGAGAGAGCAGGAGAGGTTCCTGAAGACTGACAAAGTGCCAGAGAGAAACCCGGGGCCTCCAGCCGCTGCTCGGTGGCAGTGGGCGGGCTGGTGGGGGCTGAGCTCTTCCTGGACGGACTCAGTGCAAAAGGTGCGTCTACTTTGGAAAAGACTGAGCAAGGCTTGTGTCCACCCAGTCCCTCTGTCGGGGCTCAGGGTGGGGATGAGACCGGGAACAACCAGAACACTTTGGTCAGCACCGGGCCTGGAGTAGATGAGGAGGTAGAGAACTGACCCAGCTGGTGGAACAGGGGTCAGGAGGTTAGCTGTGGGGTGGGTGGGGGCTGCTGGCGGTCACCTGATCTGCGAGCAGGCAGGGTACTGGACGGTCAGCCAGACTTTCATGTTACTCAGGCATCTTGAAGAGTGGATGCTCTGCCTGTCCCAATGCTGGAAGACACATCTCAGAGCCCCTCTTTTGTTGCCTGTTCTCTTGTAGGAACCTGGGCGGGAGAGTGGAGCAGGGTGCCCGCAGGGGCTGGGGGGGCTCTTCTCTTTCTTCCTCTCTCCCATCTTCCTCATCTTAGATCCTCCCCCTCTGCATTTTCCGTGTGAACTCCCTCATGAATAAACCAGAAGTTAGTTGTCTACAGATGTAATTTTAACAGGAATGTTGTGGTGTGAGTTTACAGGAAAATGGTCTTTGGGAACCAGCATCATTAGATTAGTCAGACCGAGAAACGCCGTGTTTCCCAGAAGGGAAGAGAGCAGTGGCTGCCGTGCTGCTCCCCCGTGGGCTTCCTGCTCTTTGGGGACTGCGGGACCCATCCCCGCTCCAGGACAGCCCCACTGGGGAGCCCACTGCCCAGCCCGGAGTGTCTGCTGGAGGCCTGGGGGGTGGAATGTGCTTTCACGGCCTCTTGAGGTTCCCGGCATTTTTCTGTCTTTCAGACCAAATTTCCCCAAACATCACTTTAAAAAACTCAAAACAAAAATGAGCAAGAGGAATTTCACCGGAATTAAAATGTTTTTGATCTCAGGCTTCCACGGAGCCAGCTTCAGAGAGAAGAGATTAATGGATACTTGCAAGTGGAAAGTGTAGTTTGAAAATGTCTTCCTGTTTCTCTTCAGTGTTACTGGAACTAACCAGATACAAGTGTGGAGTCTTTTCTCCCCAGGGTTAATGCCATTAGGAGCGTTCCTTGTGGGAAGATTGGTTTCACCCATCACTTCATCCTTTTTTTTATTTTACAATTTGCACTTAAAAATGCAATGTTATTTTAATCGGGAACGAAAGTAACTCAGCGTGCTTTAATCTGCCCTGGCTGAGTACATCTGCCTTGGCCAGGATTGGAGTCCAGGCCTTGCAGAGGAGAGAGGATGTCGACACAGCTGTGGGTGTCTGTGGTCCTCCTGCCACCCCTTGTCCTGCAGCACCGGAAGCCTCCACTCAGCAGCCCCAACCTTCAAGAGAGTGACTTTGTGCTCTGGCAACTGAGTGTGTGGTTTGCCCTGGGGTTGCTTGGAGTTGATTGGATATGTTCCCTGTGCCTTGGGGTTTATTTGGGACTGTGGCCTGGGAGCACGGCCTGTGCCAGGAGGGTGCAGGTTGGATGGTCCTCAGGAAGTAGGCTGCAGCGCTCTGCAGGAGTCAGGGTGGCCAGGCAAGGTGGGGGTGAGCACTGGGGATCTGGATGCTCGGGAGGAAAGGTGGAGGCACCATATGGCCTGAGCTGCTGACAGATGAGCCTGCTGGCCCCACCTCTCTCTCACGCCTGGCTTCACACCTCCATCGTGTTCAACACTGGTCTGAGGGCTGGGGCAGAAGCCATCTGGGTCCTCTTCTTTTTTTCCATTTTGCTGCCTGCAATCCACACATCAGAGGAGGAGCGTGAGAAGAGGGGGCCCTGGGTCAAGGCGGTTGGAGCCTCTCACCTGGTCCTGGGGGACCCTCCATGTCTCCCTCAGGGACCCACAGAGCTGCCAGTGGCTGACCTGTCCTGCCTGAGTGGGAGGAGAGTGGGAGTTTGGATGCTCCATGGTGCACCAAGGCCTGCTTTAGAAGGCCCTAGAAGGTCCCTGAGACTCTCGGACCGCAAACTGACAGCAGCAGGTGCCTGGGGTGGCCTCCCAGTGAGCCAGAGCCACAGACCCGAGGCGCGTCCCCAATCCCGGTGTGCGCCTCGCTGAGCTAGCTTGTCAAAGCGCTTGGGTCTTTACACCTACAGGGTTTTTGGGTTCTGAAAATCAAATGGCTTTAGCAGTCCTGCTCTGTGGGCAGCCAAAGTGGCTCCTAACTGAAGGTGCTGCCCATTCTTTACAAGACTTAGAGCTGGGGGACAAGTTCCCTCTTGGCTCTGAGTTTCCCAGGATAACTGCCGTCCCAGGGAGCCCGGGGATGGTTCAGAGCAGCCTCCCAGTTACTGCTGACTGAATACTTGGTTGTCAGTCGCTCGTCAGCATGTGGGATTGTGCTCACCCTGCCCTTACCAAAGTTTTGTTTAGGGAAAAACAGAGATTTGAAATTGGGACGACTTACTATGGTTAACATTATTTTCATTGAGACTGGGCCTTAATCTTCGAATGGAACAAAAAATCTGACTTAGGTCGTAAGGGGCAGAGAAACACGTTTGACGCTGTTATTTTAATCGTTGAGACCGTGCTAACTTGTTCAGTTCTCATGAACGTGTTCTGTACTGGACACTGAGGCTGGGAGGCAAATTAGCTTCCCAGGTGAGTGGTGTAGCTCGAATCTAAGATCTTTCCAGCACAGCCTCCCTCACAGTCCCACCCAGCCCCACCCAGCCTTCCTGCCGAGTGCCCCAGGCTGCCATGGAGGCTGCCCGCAGGCCACAGTATGACCCTCACTGCCCTCGTGTCTCTTCCTCACAGCCTGGGACATATCTAGAGCCTGTCCCCAGCATACCCTCCAACCTTATTCTCCGTCCCAAACTGGGTTGTTACCCACGATTCCCAAACATGCCTCCCTATCTCCCTTCATCTCCTGCAGCTGAATTTTTGCTTCTCTTTCAAGGCTTCTTACAGATGCCACCCCGGGCCCTCCTTTACTTACCTTTACTCTCACGTGTCTCACATTTGAAATCCCGCTCTCGGGATGCAATGTCTCTGCTGTGACATTGCATCAGACTGATGGGTATCCCTGCTTGCTTTCCGGGAGAGCCTGCAGGCAACCAGCTCTGGGGGCTGCTGGGCCTGAGGAAAGCATCCCAAGTCAAGGGGCTGCTGGACCCAATGGGGCACTGCAAGTCTGGACCAGGGAAGGATCCACATTTTAGCTTTGAGGTTGGAAGGACACTTGTGTTGGGAAGAAAAGCTACTTAAATGCTCAGTTGAGCAGTTCTGAATTATTCCTCCACTCTGTTCCTTCTTGAGGTTGAGCCCTGCCTTCTGGTTATTTGAGATCAAGTCCGCCTAGATAAAATGTTAGACTATTACTGCACATTAAAGAGGTACCTCTTACAGTCATTTTTTTTTAAGTGGTCTGATTTTGTTTTGGCTGGCTTATTTAGAGTTTTGTGCTTCCTCATTTTATTTCCACGAAGGCTGTGCCCAACCTTAGCCTCGGTGAGCCGTGACCCAGCCATGTCACCGATGCGTCAAAGTGGGTTGGCTGTGAGGCATTCATTCTCTCCCCATGACACAGATAGACAAATTGGTCATATATATATATATATATATATATATATATATATATAGAGAGAGAGAGAGAGAGAGAGAGAGAGAGAGAGAGAGAGAGAGAGAGAGACGGAGTCTTGCTCTGTTGGCCTGGCTGGAGTGCAGTGGCGCCTTCTTGGCTGCAACCTCCGCCTCCGGGTTCAAGCAATTCCGTCTGCCTCAGTCTCCCAAGTAGCTGGGACTGCAGATGCGTGCCACCAAGTCTGGCTAATTTTTGTATTTTTTTTTTTTTTAACAGAGATGGGGTTTTGCCATGTTGGCGAGGCTGGTCTTGAACTCCTGACCTCAGGTGATCTGCCTGCCTCCGCCTCCCAAAGTGCTGGTATTACAGGTGTGAGCCACTGTGCCCGGCCAAATTTACCCAATTTTTAAGAGTTATGACGTGCTGCAAGCTTGCTGCCTTCCCTCATCCAGCGGTAAGTCCTGTAAGGAGTCTGCTTCCTAGGTGCATCAGCCAGATAGGGAAAACAAAGGGATTTGTTACTGAATGGCATTCAGGGAAGCAATCCCTAGAAGGCTGCCTGGAGCCTGTCTCGGGGAATCCGTTCCAGGACTCTGGGCCCTGCACCTCTTCCCTGTGGAGTGTCACCCACACCGGTGGCCTGGGCTTTGTCTGGCTGCAAATCGCACATGCGGCTTCTAAGTCAGAACCTGCTGCTGGATGTGGAGCTCCCTTCATCCCCAGGGTCTGAGCCTTTGTCCTTGGCTGACCCCTATCCTCTGGCATCTGGAGGAACCCAAACCCTAACCCCTAACCTCTGGCATCTGGAGGAACCCAAACCCTAACTCCCTACACCTCTGGCATCTGGAGGAACCCAAACCCTAACCCCTAACCTCTGGCATCTGGAGGAACCCAAACCCTAACTCCCTACACCTCTGGCATCTGGAGGAACCCAAACCCTAACCCCTAACCTCTGGCATCTGGAGGAAGCCAAACCCTAACCCCTAACCTCTGGCATCTGGAGGAACCCAAACCCTAACCCCCTACACCTCTGGCATCTGGAGGAACCCAAACCCTAACCCCCTACACCTCTGGCATCTGGAGGAACCCAAACCCACTTCAATATAAGAGTTAGAGTCCAATTCCTCTTCCTGGAGAGCCCTCTGATGGCCTTGGGACCCTGGACCTGGTGAGCTCTCCCCCTGCCAGCCCCTCCTACTGGCCACCCACTTCCTGCCCAGTCACCCAGAGGCCAGGCCACCTCTGGTGTGGGTAAAGCGTTTGTGTTTTCCCCAAATGTGTTCTGTGTTGGCTCTCGTGTACTGACCACTGTCCATCCAGGCTGGGAAATTACCATACACATCCCCCCGCCCCCCACAATTTTTCTAAGCCTGTAGAGCAGCAGAGGGGGCTGCTCTGAGCCCTGGAGCTAGGGCTGCAGTTGGACCCATCAGAGAGCAGCTGCCTGGGCTTACCCTACCCAAGCAGGGATTTGGGCAGGGGTCCTGCAGTTGGAGAGCCTGGGATTGGAGAAGGAAAACAGAACTGTTGTGAAAGCCAAAATCCCCAAGGGCTTTGAGGCCTGGGGATCTTCCCTCGAGCTCTCTCCCTTCTGAACTGGGGATGAGCCAGCGTGTGGGCTCATCCTGACCCTAAAGGGAATGTGAGATGCCCCTCCTAGTGGAATTTTGTCTTCAAGGCCTCAGTAAAATGTGGTTTTAAGGCAGAAGGAGATGGCCATTTCCTTTCTTTTTGGGCTGGAAAGCTGAACGGTTCTAAGAAAAATTTCTGGGACCAAGGAACGAAAATGCTGGAGCAGAATTCCAGAGCAGGACCTCTTGATCCCGCGAAGCCGACGTGTCTTCTGGGGAGTTCCCAAAGATCCATGGGGAAGACGCCCCCAAACCCAGTGCTGCTGGCTCTGGCCATACCCTCTTTTTTTTTTTTTTTTTTTTTTTGAAGATGGAGTCTCACTCTGTTGCCCAGGCTGGAGTGCAGTGGCGTGATCTTGGCTCACTGCAACCTCCGCCTACTGGGTTCAGCAATTCTCCTGCCTCGGCCTCCTGCATGTGCCACCACACCTGGCTAATTTTTGTATCTTTAGTAGAGACAGGGTTTCACCATGTTGGTCAGGCTGGTCTTTAACTCCTGCCCTCAAGTGATCCACCCACCTCGGCCTCCCAAAGTGTTAGGATTACAGGCTTGAGCCACCATTCCTGGCCTCATACCCTCTTAATTCTTATCTTGCATCTGGAATACCTGTTGGACCAGGCCTGTTTCCATCACAGCCCCTTCTTATTGCCTTTGTGTTCTCTGTGTTCTACCCCTTCCCATACCCCAGGATTCAGGCAGGCGAGTCCAGTTGTGCCTGATTGGAAAAAGTGTCTCTGATGGTGGCCCAGTGAGGCAAGGCCCATGGGTCAGCCTGGCCAATTTCCCTCCCCTCCTGAGCACCGTGGGAGGGTCAGGCCTCAAGCAGCCCTCGGAGGCAGCAGTCACAGACAGAGGTGGGCTGTTGGACAGGTGCGGCTGATAGAGTGGGTGTCTTTTGTGGGCTTCTCCCCAGCCTGTGGCCTGGCCTAGTCAGTAGAGATGGTCAGGGGAGCAGGAGGGAGCCCATACCCCAGTGCCTGTAGTTGTGTCCATTTCCCCTCCCTGACTTCTCCTCCTGCAGCATCCTTCCCTTTAGTTGTGTCCATTTCCCCTCCCTGACTTCTCCTCCTGCAGCATCCTTCCCTTTAGTTGTGTCCATTTCCCCTCCCTGACTTCTCCTCCTGCAGCATCTTTCCTAGTTGTGTCCATTTCCCCTCCCTGACTTCTCCTCCTGCAGCATCTTTCCTTGTAGTTGTGTCCATTTCCCCTCCCTGGCTTCTCCTCCTGCAGCATCTTTCCTTGTAGTTGTGTCCATTTCCCCTCCCTGACTTCTCCTCCTGCAGCATCCTTCCCTGTAGTTGTGTCCATTTCCCCTCCCTGGCTTCTCCTGCAGCATCTTTCCCTGTAGTTGTGTCCATTTCCCCTCCCTGGCTTCTCCTGCAGCATCTTTCCCTGTAGTTGTGTCCATTTCCCCTCCCTGGCTTCTCCTGCAGCATCTTTCCCTGTAGTTGTGTCCATTTCCCCTCCCTGGCTTCTCCTGTAGCATCTTTCCCTGTAGTTGTGTCCATTCCCCCTCCCTGGCTTCTCCTGTAGCATCTTTCCTAGTTGTGTCCATTTCCCCTCCCTGGCTTCTCCTGCAGCATCTTTCCCTGTAGTTGTGTCCATTTCCCCTCCCTGGCTTCTCCTGTAGCATCTTTCCTAGTTGTGTCCATTTCCCCTCCCTGGCTTCTCCTCCTGCAGCATCTTTCCCTGTAGTTGTGTCCATTCCCCCTCCCTGGCTTCTCCTGTAGCATCTTTCCTAGTTGTGTCCATTTCCCCTCCCTGGCTTCTCCTGTAGCATCTTTCCTAGTTGTGTCCATTTCCCCTCCCTGGCTTCTCCTGCAGCATCTTTCCCTGTAGTTGTGTCCATTTCCCCTCCCTGGCTTCTCCTGCAGCATCTTTCCCTGTAGTTGTGTCCATTTCCCCTCCCTGGCTTCTCCTGCAGCATCTTTCCCTGTAGTTGTGTCCATTTCCCCTCCCTGGCTTCTCCTGTAGCATCTTTCCCTGTAGTTGTGTCCATTCCCCCTCCCTGACTTCTCCTCCTGCAGCATCTTTCCCTGTAGTTGTGTCCATTTCCCCTCCCTGGCGTCTCCTCCTGCAGCATCTTTCCCTGTAGTTGTGTCCATTTCCCCTCCCTGGCTTCTCCTGTAGCATCTTTCCTAGTTGTGTCCATTTCCCCTCCCTGGCTTCTCCTCCTGCAGCATCTTTCCCTGTAGTTGTGTCCATTCCCCCTCCCTGGCTTCTCCTGTAGCATCTTTCCTAGTTGTGTCCATTTCCCCTCCCTGGCTTCTCCTGTAGCATCTTTCCTAGTTGTGTCCATTTCCCCTCCCTGGCTTCTCCTGCAGCATCTTTCCCTGTAGTTGTGTCCATTTCCCCTCCCTGGCTTCTCCTGCAGCATCTTTCCCTGTAGTTGTGTCCATTTCCCCTCCCTGGCTTCTCCTGTAGCATCTTTCCCTGTAGTTGTGTCCATTTCCCCTCCCTGGCTTCTCCTGCAGCATCTTTCCCTGTAGTTGTGTCCATTTCCCCTCCCTGGCTTCTCCTGCAGCATCTTTCCCTGTAGTTGTGTCCATTTCCCCTCCCTGGCTTCTCCTGTAGCATCTTTCCCTGTAGTTGTGTCCATTTCCCCTCCCTGGCTTCTCCTGCAGCATCTTTCCCTGTAGTTGTGTCCATTTCCCCTCCCTGGCTTCTCCTGTAGCATCTTTCCCTGTAGTTGTGTCCATTCCCCCTCCCTGGCGTCTCCTCCTGCAGCATCTTTCCCTGTAGTTGTGTCCATTCCCCCTCCCTGGCTTCTCCTGCAGCATCTTTCCCTGTAGTTGTGTCCATTTCCCCTCCCTGGCTTCTCCTGCAGCATCTTTCCCTGTAGTTGTGTCCATTTCCCCTCCCTGGCTTCTCCTGTAGCATCTTTCCTAGTTGTGTCCATTTCCCCTCCCTGGCTTCTCCTGCAGCATCTTTCCCTGTAGTTGTGTCCATTTCCCCTCCCTGGCTTCTCCTGTAGCATCTTTCCCTGTAGTTGTGTCCATTCCCCCTCCCTGACTTCTCCTCCTGCAGCATCTTTCCCTGTAGTTGTGTCCATTTCCCCTCCCTGGCGTCTCCTCCTGCAGCATCTTTCCCTGTAGTTGTGTCCATTTCCCCTCCCTGGCTTCTCCTGTAGCATCTTTCCTAGTTGTGTCCATTTCCCCTCCCTGGCTTCTCCTCCTGCAGCATCTTTCCCTGTAGTTGTGTCCATTCCCCCTCCCTGGCTTCTCCTGTAGCATCTTTCCTAGTTGTGTCCATTTCCCCTCCCTGGCTTCTCCTGTAGCATCTTTCCTAGTTGTGTCCATTTCCCCTCCCTGGCTTCTCCTGCAGCATCTTTCCCTGTAGTTGTGTCCATTTCCCCTCCCTGGCTTCTCCTGCAGCATCTTTCCCTGTAGTTGTGTCCATTTCCCCTCCCTGGCTTCTCCTGTAGCATCTTTCCCTGTAGTTGTGTCCATTTCCCCTCCCTGGCTTCTCCTGCAGCATCTTTCCTAGTTGTGTCCATTTCCCCTCCCTGGCTTCTCCTGCAGCATCTTTCCCTGTAGTTGTGTCCATTTCCCCTCCCTGGCTTCTCCTGTAGCATCTTTCCCTGTAGTTGTGTCCATTCCCCCTCCCTGGCGTCTCCTCCTGCAGCATCTTTCCCTGTAGTTGTGTCCATTTCCCCTCCCTGGCTTCTCCTGCAGCATCTTTCCCTGTAGTTGTGTCCATTTCCCCTCCCTGGCTTCTCCTGTAGCATCTTTCCCTGTAGTTGTGTCCATTCCCCCTCCCTGGCGTCTCCTCCTGCAGCATCTTTCCCTGTAGTTGTGTCCATTTCCCCTCCCTGGCTTCTCCTCCTGCAGCATCTTTCCCTGTAGTTGTGTCCATTCCCCCTCCCTGGCTTCTCCTCCTGCAGCATCTTTCCCTGTAGTTGTGTCCATTTCCCCTCCCTGGCTTCTCCTGCAGCATCTTTCCCTGTAGTTGTGTCCATTTCCCCTCCCTGGCTTCTCCTGCAGCATCTTTCCCTGTAGTTGTGTCCATTTCCCCTCCCTGGCTTCTCCTCTTCTAGCATCTTTCCTGCTCCCTGGTAGCCTCTTGGGAGCCACCTATTTCTGGAGGTCCCCACTCTGGGTTCCTTGTCCTGGGTGTGGGGCGAATGTGCTGGACTGGGGTCACAGCATTGAACCCCACTTGGAGCTGAGGATGTTCTCGCCCCAGAAGGAAAAGCTGTGTGTGTCTGCGTGGAGCAGTGTGGAGTGGTTTCCTTGGTGCCGCCTGGGTTCCGGGCACCCGGCCTGGGTGTGAGGCCTGGTCACATGGCTGAACTGCTCTCCCAGGCACCCCGGGAGGGATGAATGTGACACTATTGGTGTCCCTCCCAGCACACTGCCTGCCCTGGGCTGGGCACACTCCTCCCCTGTTGGCAGCCGGGGATGACAGGCCGCCTGGAGAGCCCGTCCTGTGATTTGGTTTGGAAAGTCATTATTACTGCAGAGCAGTTTAGCTGTTGTTTTTACAGCGTTGGTAAGGTTAAAAGAAATAATGATAATAATATAAGAAAGACTCAGCCACAGTAACTGCCTGCAACATGCTATTTGCATTTTTAAGGAAACACTTCTTTGAGACAGCCTGGGTGAAAGGTCACTATTTGCATATAAATGGAAAAGAAAGTGTATGATGCTGGAAGTTACATCTGTATTATTTTCTCAGCAGTGAGCTGCTGTTGGAGAGATTAGAGGACATGGCTTGCATTTGGCTTTTATTGAATAGAGAAAGTACCAGCGAGGCTGATTTAGAAGCAAAATAATGAGAGAAATGTGCAAAGCTATAGAATTGCCAACTCCCTGCCCCCACCTCTCCCTTCTCTCATTTTCACCTAAACTCAGCAAAAGCTGGTCTGCCTTTGCGCCACTCAGCAAGTCTTCATTTTACTTCTCTCTGGATTCCAGAGAGGAAAAAAAAAAAGGAAAGAAAAAGAGCAAAACTTGCCCTCATTTTCCCCTCGGTCCCATTTGTGTTTCCTGCCAGTGTTTCCTCCAGATGCCCCAAACCCCGGAGCAGAAGCCCCTGTGACTGTGGCCCCCCAGGGTGTGGAGAGGAAGAGGCCCTCGGGGCGGGGACAAGAGGGCACCCCTCTCCAGGGTGGGGACAAGAGGGCACCCCTCTCCAGGGGTGGGGACATGAGGGCACCCCTCTCCGGGGGCGGGGACAAGAGGGCACCCCTCTCCAGGGCAGGGACAAGAGGGTACCCCTCTCCGGAGCTAGTGGGCCTGTTTTGGACCCGCTGCTGGGAAAGGCTGGGGGCAGGGGCAAATGTGGGGGGTCCTGTGTGGGCTGAGGGAGTCCTGTTCCACCTTCCCCTCAGCCCCATGGGACCCGCAGTTTCTAGGGCATGGGTTCCACCTTCTTCATGGAAATTTCCAAGCTTGTCAGACTTTCTCAGGTGCCTGGTCCCCTGGGCTTTCCAGGATGCCCCCAGGAACAAAGCCAGCCATCCCTGAGAGAAACCCTGGGTGGGGCTGGGGCCGGCACCTGCCCAGCCAGCTTTGGAAGCAGACTTGGCTGAGCACATCATGGACTTCAGGGTCTTCCAGGAGCAGTCCTGGGACAGAGGGAGGTGGAGCGTCCTGCCCGGAGGAGGCACCTCAGGATCCTCCTTGGTCCCAGCTTCTCTCTTCACAGAGGCCTCCACTGACCACTGGTTACTTAAATCACAGTCCCCCATCCTCATTATTTTCAAAAATACATTTTGAAACAATCTCAAAGCCACAGAAACGTTTCAAGTAAAGGGCCAAGCTGTTTCTCCTGAGCGTTTGAGAGCGTGTTGCTGATGCGATGCCATCACCAAGGACACTTGCATGGGTGTTTCCAGCAGAGAGGCCGCTCTCCCACTGCTCCACCCTCACCTTCTCGGCCATCTGGTCCTCAGACCCATTCAGGGGTGGGTTCAGAACCACGTGCTGTGCGTGGTCCTGGTGTCTCGTTCGTCTGAAGTCGTTTTTAGCACTCCTCGCCTTTCGTGACCTTGTGCTTTTGGAAGAGCGCTGAGCCGTTATTCAGTGGGATACCCTTCAACGTGGGAGCACTGAGCCGTTATTCGGTGGGATACCCTTCAACGTGGGAGCACTGAGCCGTTATTCGGTGGGATACCCTTCAACGTGGCAGCACTGAGCCGTTATTCGGTGAGATACCCTTCAACGTGGGAGCACTGAGCCGTTATTCGGTGGGATGCCCTTCAACGTGGGAGCACTGAGCCGTTATTCGGTGGGATACCCTTCAACGTGGGAGCACTGAGCCGTTATTCGGTGAGATACCCTTCAACGTGGGAGCACTGAGCCGTTATTCGGTGGGATGCCCTTCAACGTGGGAGCACTGAGCCGTTATTTGGTGGGATGCCCTTCAACGTGGGAGCACTGAGCCGTTATTCGGTGGGATACCCTTCAACGTGGGAGCACTAAGCCGTTATTCAGTGGGATGCCCTTCAACGTGGGAGCACTGAGCCGTTATTCAGTGGGATACCCTTCAACGTGGGAGCACTGAGCCGTTATTCGGTGAGATACCCTTCAACGTGGGAGCACTGAGCCGTTATTCGGTGAGATACCCTTCAAGGTGGGAGCACTGAGCCGTTATTCAGTGGGATACCCTTCAACGTGGGAGCACTGAGCCGTTATTTGGTGAGATACCCTTCAAGGTGGGAGCACTGAGCTGTTATTCAGTGGGATACCCTTCAACGTGGGAGCACTGAGCCGTTATTCGGTGAGATACCCTTCAACGTGGGAGCACTGAGCCATTATTCGGTGGGATGCCCTTCAACGTGGGAGCACTGAGCCGTTATTCGGTGGGATGCCCTTCAACGTGGGTTTGTCCAGTGTTGCCCGTGATGCAGGAACACCTGAGTGGGAGGTTCTCCCTTCACCTGATGCTGATTTGTCCCTTAACTCATAATGTTGACTTGGTCACTGGATTAGATGGGGCATCCCAGCACCTCTATGCCAGAGGGAAATGCCAGTCATTTTCCCTTTGCAATTAATAAATATTTGGGGGGAAGGTACTTTGAAACTATGGAAATATCTCCATCCTCAACAAACCATCACTTAACTTTGATGGATATCTCTATAGACTCGTTGTTTCCTGTTTTACCCCATGGGCTGAAAGCCTTCTTTGGATGCTCAGATTGTCCCTGATTGACCAGTGGAAGCCCAGTACAGAGGCTCCTGCAGCCTCGGTCCAGCTCCCCTGTCCTTTCTTGTTCTTGCCTTTCCTGCTTGGGGCCTGGAACTCTGGTTCCTTTTATTAGAAAATGGTGTTAGCCTGAGACCTGGGTGTTGGGCCTCTAGTGGACATGGCTGGGAAGACGTATGTGTGTACACACACATACTCACATGCTACACACAGTTACACAATGCTACACACACACAGTTACACACACATACTACACACAGGCTACACACAGTTACACACACGCTACACAGTTACATGCATGCTCTATACAGTTATACACACATGCTACACACACAGTTACACATTTGCACACAGTTACACACTCACATGCTACACACAGTTACACACATACGCCACACACGCTACACACATGCTACATGCAGTTACATGCCACACAGTCACACACAGTTACACACCACACGCAGTTACACACACATGCTACACACAGGTACATGCTACACACACGCTACACACAGTTATACATGCTACACACACGCTACACACAGTTACATGCTACACAGTTACATGCATGCTCTATACAGTTATACACACATGCTACACACACACAGTTACAGACACACGCCACACACACACCCTTTTTCACCTAGGTCTGTATTTACTTCTCCATCTATCGATGTTTATTGAAAAACACAAGTTCATATTGATAACCTCTGATTCCAATTCCCACACAGGGTTCATTCTAAGGTTCTGCCTTTCCGTAGGCATAACGTCCTCTTCCAACAGTGAGAAAGCTGGTTTCCATTATCTTTAATGTGTTTACTTCTTTGATCCACCTCTTTCCCCATACCAGCACCCTCCTTACTCCACACAAGTGCTGACCCCTTGCTGAGCCCCTCTCTGCAGGCCAACCTCTGGGTCGCCACAGGACAGCCCCACCCTCTGTTCTAGGCCTTGGTGGGGACACCTTCTCCCCTGCAAGGGCTCTGGTGCTGGGGAGCCTCACTGGCCAGTTGCCCAGGACTTTGGGGTTCACAGGGTGTGGGCCAGGACAATCCAAGTATAATGGGCTGATTGGCCTCCCTGTGGCTCCAGAACTGGACCTTTTCGGACACTTGTGCTCACAGTGACCAGCTAGCTTCCTTTGTAGCGTTGAGCGTTATCTTTCTTTATCTTCAGTGTTTCGCTGGTGGACCAAACAGTTTACCAGTGTTATGTCTCATACAAGATTTTGTGGTTTGTTTTTCTTGTAGACAGTGATCACCACCCCTGCCACATGCACCTCCCTGCCCTCGCTTCCCTTACTCGCGGTTCAATGCTCAGTTTTTGAGGCTGTGCATATCTGGATTTTTTTATTCTTCTACTTCCTGTGATCAGTGTTTTGCCTGGGCATAGAGGACATGCCCTGAAGTTGAATGTCAACTCCCTTGAAATTGGGAAGAGGCTTTCTCTACTGTCTGTGAATGCTGCTCTGGAGCAATGTGATCCTATTCTAGTTATCGGTTTTGTTTGTGACTTTTTCCCACTTCAAAAGCTTTTAGGGTCTTTTTTCTATTCCTGGTGTTTTAAAATTTTATAGTGCCGGGCTTGGTTGGATGTGGGTCTCTTTTTATTCACGATTATGGGCACTTAATGGGCTTTTTAATCTAAAAATATAATTTCCTTTAGTTCTCGGAAAATTTTTTTTATTATTTAACTTACACTTTTCCTTCCCATTTTCTTAATTCTCTCTTTCTGGAACTCCCAAATCGGGTGTCAGTCCTCACTCAGCGTTTCCTCCGTCTCTGCTATCTCTTCGTCCTTTTGTTCACTTTCCTAGTATATTTCTTTGACTCTATCTCCCAAGTCTTCTGTTGAATTTTTCATTTTGGTTTTACAATTTATTTCCAAGTTGGGGAGGATGGACACAATGGTATTAAGCCTTCCCAAACAAGTCCTCCTGTCACTGTCTGGGCTGGGCCATATCTGCCCTGTCCACATGCGTCTGGAGAGTCTGTGTCCTGCCTCCTGGTTTGTCCTTGTTCCTGCTCTAACCGCTGCCCACACTGTTAGTCGAGGGAGCCTGAAGGAGCCTCCTGAAACACTCATTTGCTCATCCAGTGCAGGTTCCTCCCACAGGCCAGGAAAGGTCCCAGGAACAGCCATTATTGAGCACCCTGGCAGTTCTCAGACTGCGGTGGGGACCTCGCTTTGAACTTTGAGAGGCAGATGCTGGACCTAGTATTTCTGCTGCCTCCTCCAGGAGCCATGTGACATGGATGTGAGTCTGTTTGCCTCCTAGGGCCTTACCTTCCTATGTCTGGGGGTGTAGCCTGGACCTCAGGGGTGTCCCCTTGGGTGTCAGAGGCTCTTTGGGACTAGAGGGAGGAATCCTGGGCTGTGGTCCCCCAGGAGTCTACTGTGACCTGTGACTGGTTTCGTGTGGGCCTTAAATTGTTTCTAAATTTTTATTCTAACCGTTTTCTTGCTGCCTTGCCAGGCTCTGATTTAAACCCAAGTAGCAGCAAGAAGGGGATAAATGAGGGATTGAGAGGAGAAGCAGGAAAAAAGTTTTTTGTTTTTTGTTTTTTTTCCTTTCGAATGGCAAGATGTAAGTTTATACTCAACCCTGGGCCCAGCTTTTCAGTTTCACTCTGCATGAGGTATGATGAAAGCTAAGAAGGCCTGCCCTCTCCAGGGAAGTGGCGGCTGGAGCAGCCACGGTGTCCCAGGGCGTGGCAGGCCCAGCCAATACGCACGCACAGGCAGAATGGGGGGCTGTTGCTGCTGGGTTAGCTACCAGGTGGGATTGGCCCTGGCCATCGGCTCAGCTGCATGGATAGCTGTGGACACATCCTGACATAGCACTGGCCGAGGTGGGAGGTGAGCTTGGGCCGTTCTGGGTCCCGATGCCTCCTGGCTGTGCAGAGGCAGGTCGCCTTCCTTTGGCCCTGTTGAATGAGTACAGCTCTAACTGCTCTGGGGAGTGGGAGGGTGAAGTGGACCCAAGAGCTCTCACTCTGACCTCCGTGGCCTGTCTCGTGTCACTCGCATGACCCATCCTCCTGTTGTATCCCTGGACCCAGCCCTCCCTGGCCTCCAGGAGCAGGGAGTGATAGGCATCAAGGTGGTCCAGTTTGGGGTTGAGGCGCAGCGGTCCAGAGGCTGGCCCAGGACACAGGCTCACAGAACCCAGTCTGGAGAACCAAAGGGGACTTGCTGGGACCTCCTGCCCTAGGCAAGAGTCCCCAGAGTGTCTCACTGACCATCCACATGCCACTGTTTAAAAACAGCGTTATTGGAATGTAATGTGCACATCACAGAATTCACCTATTAAAAATATACAATTCAGTGGTTTTAGCGTACGTGTAGGGTTGTACATCTATCACCACAGCCCAAGTTTAGACCGTTTTGATCACCCCAGAAAGAAACCCCATGCCCGTTCACAGTCGTTCTCCATTTTCTCCTCCACCAGTCCTAGGCAACCACGAATCTACTTTCTATCTCTACGAATTTGCCTGTTCTGGCCATTTCACAAATATGGAATTGTTCAATATGTGGTCTTTTGTCCCTGGCCTCTTTCACTGAACACGAAGTTTTTGAGATTCACCCACATTGTTGCATGTATAAGCAACTTCATTCCTTTTTATTGCCAAAGACTGTGCCACTGTATTTCGTATCACCCATTCAGCAGTTGATGGACATTTGGGTTTTTCCACTTTTTGGCTAGTATGAATAAAGCTGCTATGAATAGTTGTGTACAAGCCTTTATGTGACATATGTTTTTATTTCTCTTGGGCAAATATCTAGAGTGGAATTCCTGAGTCATGTAACTCTATGTTGAACATTTTGAGTAACTGCCATGCCATTTTCCAAGTGATTGTGCTATTTTACATTCGCATCAGCATTCTATGAGGGTTCTTGCCAACACTTGTTACTATCTGTTTATCTTTAACATTACAGCCATTTTAGTGCAATGGTATCTGAGTGTGGTTTTGATTTGCATTTCCTGGATTACTAGCTGTTGGGCATCTCTTCATGTGCTTATTGGCCATTCCCGTGTTATCTTTGGAGAAATGTCTGTTCAAGTCCTCTGCTCATTCTAAAATTGGGTTATTTGTCTTATTATGAGTTATGAGAGTTCTTTTTTCCAAATACAAGCTCTTTATCAGATTTACGATTTGCAAATATTTTCTCCCAGTCTTTGGGTTGTCTTTTCACCATATTGATAGTGTTATTCATTTATTTATTTTTGAGACAGAGTCTTGCTCTGTCACGCAGGCTAGAGTGCAGTCGCATGATCTTGGCTCACTGCAACCTCCACCTCCCAGGTTCAAGTGATTCTCCTGCCTCAGCCTCCTAAGTAGCTGGGATTACAGACACGCACCGCCATACCCAGCTAATTTTGTATTTTCAGTAGAGACGGGGCTTCACCATGCTGGCCAGGCTGGTCTCGAACCCCTGACCTCAAGTGATCTGCTTGCCTCAGTCTCCCAAAGTGTTGGGATTACAGCCGTGAGCCACTGCTCCCGGCCGACAGTGTTATTTTAACTCCGAAAGTTTTAAACCTTGTTGAAGTCCAATATATTACTTTTTTTCTTTAATGGCTTGTAGTGTTGTTGTCATAGCTAAGAAACCATTGCTGAACCCAGAGTCGGAAAGATTTACCGCGGTGTTTTCTAGGAGTTTTGGTTCTTACATTTACATATGTGATCCAGTGCGAGCTAATTTTTGAGAGAGGTCCAACTTCATTTTTTTTTTTGATATCTAGTTGTCCTGGCACGTTTGTTGAAAAGACAGTTTTTTTCCCATTAAATTGTTTTTGTGCCATTGTCAAAAATCAATTGATCATTAATAGAGGGGGTTACTTCTGGACTCTCAATTATGTCCCACTTATCCATATGCCCGTCCTGATGCTAGTAACACATTGCCTTGATTACTGCAGCTTTGTAGTAAGTTTGGAAACTGAGAAGTGTGTCGTCCAACTTTGCTCTTTTTCAGAATTGTTTTGACTAGTCTATATTCCTTGAATTGCCATACAAATTTTTAGAATGAGTTTGTCAGTTTTTGCAAACAGAACAAAACAACACAGCCAGAGAGGTCAGAAATGGTCAGATTCTGGTGAGATTTAGAAAATAACATTGGCAGGATTTGGGGCCAAGGATGACCCTCAGGGTTCTGGCTTGAGGAGCTGATGACTGAAGAGGGGAAGAGGAAAACCCCACGTCACGTAAGAAGCAGATATTGTGGGCAGCGAGGAAGCAAAAAGGAGAAGCCATCTGACATGGGGTGGCCGGGTGGCCAGGAGGAGCCTGTACAGGTGACCGACAAGGTCAGGGGCGAGTGTTTGCCACAGAAGGGGGTGAACAGACACGCACCGCAGTGATGTCTAGTGGGCCCTCACGTGCCCTGTGAACATGAAGCCGCCTGTTGTTCCAGTAGAGGGATGTGGGTGGAGGCCAACTGTGGTGGGGAGTGAAGCGTAGTTATGAAGCAGGAGGAGATGGAGAGGGGGCTGGGCAGGGGCGTGAGGTCCAAAGAGACTGTGTTTTTAAACATGGATGCCTCAAGCCAGTTGAAGAGTTGGGAAGAGTAGTTCAATATTCCAGAAGAATGGAGGGAAGAGTTGATATTCCTGGGAACTTTCATTGACAGTGGGAAGGAGGTGGGTATAAAGTCCAGATGGACAAGCTGGCTCAGCAGGGAGGCAAGACCCCATCTCCTGTGCTGGAGACGGAGGAGGGCTGAGGGGGTGCATGGGAGAATGGAGGTGTGGGCTCCTCTCAAGTGACTACCCTTCCCCTCTTTGCTGAGGGGCAGGTGGTAACAGCTCCTGGCCCCAAAGGCAGCCCTAGTTACCAGAGATGCAAAACCTAGTGAAGACTGAAAACATGTGGCTTTCCACACTTACCACCTGGCCTCTCACTCAGTCTTCCTGTTATTTTGTTCTTGTTTTCAGAGTGGGGAGGTTTTACACAGTGGAAGGGGGTCAGGTTGCCAGGGCTGGAGTGGATCAGAGCTAACTGCCACAGGGACTCCCATCCGGAGGCCCAGGGGATGCACCATGGGGGCAGGTGGGCTCAGGCCAGATTCCAGGCTACCGAGCCAGCATGAAAACAGCCACGGTCGCCCGCAGGGGGTCCCCCATGGGGTTGTGCGTGGAGTGGCCACAGTGCCAGTGCAAGGAGGAAGTGTGTGCTGGCAGTGGGTCAGCCGGCAGCTGGGGTGTTAGCTCTGGGACAAGGGGGCTCTCCTTGCCATGACGACAGAAGGAAACCTTGGGGTAGGCCAGCAGCACTTCCTGGGAAGAGCCCAGCAGAGCACTGGCTCTCAGTGGAAGCGTCCTGTCTGGGGCCTGGGTCAGGCTGGTCTCCAGTTTGCAGTGCTGCTGAGTTGGAAAAAGAGGGCTTCATTAGGAGAAGACAGACGGGGGGCTACAGCTCAGCACTGCACATCTCCCTGGCCTGTGTTGGAGTCTCTGGCCAGTGAGGGGTGGTTCCCTCTCCTCTGGACCTTTGTGCATCAATCTCAGCTGAGGAGGCCCTGTTTGTTTCCTGAGTTTTTCTGCCCACAAGAGCCCCATAAAAGTGAGTGTGGGGCCACCATGGGGACAGATGTGGGGGTTACCTTGAGCAGGCAGGACTCCAGGTGCAAAGATGCCGGGTCCCTAGAGAGGGGTCCCAGCCAGCGCCGCCCTCTGGGTGCCGGGAGCTGATCCCGAGAGGCTTGTTTTCCAGGAGACGTGCTCAGGATGGAGCGGTCTCTGATGTTCCGTTTCCCATTCGCATCCACGAGCAGGGATTCAGATTAACTCACTAGAAACTCAATAACCCAAGAGAACAGGCTCGTCTGGATGAAAACCTCCACTTCACTTCAGATTCCTGACAAGAAAGGCCATGGTGATGACAACAGCACTGACGTCCTCATGGGTTCACTTCCAGGCTCCGTCCACACATGTCTCTCCATCTCCAAATAATTCTTCCCCTCCCACTTTGTGGGTGAAGGACTTAAGTCTCAGAGAGGGTAGTGACCTGCTGCTCAGGTCTGAGTTGGTGGCAGTGCCCTGTGTGAGCTTTGGGGACCCTTGTTCCCACCACAGAGTGTCCATGGAGCAGCATGACTTCTGGAAGGGCGTCTTTATGGAACACCTCCACGTTTCCGTGGAGAGATTTCCTGTAGCCCGTGGCCCCGGCATCCACGTTTCCGTGGAGACTTTTCCTGTAGCCTGTGGCCCCGGCATCCACGTTTCCGTGGAGAGTTTCCTGTAGCACGTGGCTCCGGCATCCACGTTTCCGTGGAGACTTTTCCTGTAGCCCGTGGCCCCGGCATCCATGTTTCCGTGGAGAGTTTTCCTGTAGCACGTGGCTCCGGCATCCACGTTTCCGTGGAGAGTTTTCCTGTAGCCTGTGGCCCCGGCATCCACGTTTCCGTGGAGAGATTTCCTGTAGCCCGTGGCCCCGGCATCCACGTTTCCGTGGAGACTTTTCCTGTAGCCCGTGGCCCCGGCATCCATGTTTCCGTGGAGAGTTTTCCTGTGGCACGTGGCCCCGGCATCCACGTTTCCGTGGAGAGTTTTCCTGTAGCCCATGGCCCCGGCATCCACGTTTCCGTGGAGACTTTTCCTGTAGCCCGTGGCCCCGGCATCCACGTTTCCATGGAGACTTTTCCTGTAGCCTGTGGCCCCGGCATCCATGTTTCCGTGGAGAGTTTTCCTGTAGCACGTGGCTCCGGCATCCACGTTTCCGTGGAGAGTTTTCCTGTAGCCTGTGGCCCCGGCATCCACGTTTCCGTGGAGAGTTTTCCTGTGGCACGTGGCCCCGGCATCCACGTTTCTGTGGAGAGTTTTCCTGTGGCACGTGGCCCCGGCATCCACGTTTCCGTGGAGACTTTTCCTGTAGCCTGTGGCCCCGGCATCCACGTTTCCGTGGAGAGTTTTCCTGTGGCACGTGGCCCCGGCATGTTGTTTGGGTGCATGGGGACTTAATGTGCTGCTAGAGATGCTGATTGAGCAGAGCCTACAGACAGGAGAGCTTTGTCTGGGGTGGAGCCTACTGAGCCCATGGGGCAGGGTTTGGCCATACACAGGCCCCAGTAGGGGACCAAGAGGGCCACAGGAGAAGAACTGGCATACCTTACTGGGCTTCTAGTAGTGATAGCCGTTTGCTGCCAAGACATTTCCTAGGAGAGGGAGGCTATCATGTCAAGGTTGAGCCGGGTCCTCAGGCCCTTGTAAAGGAGGGTCTACGCTTGGGGGTTTGTGGTTACTTGTGTGCTCTGTACCCAGGGGTATGGTGCACAGGTTTCACCGGGTGCCATTCTGCTCTTTTGCCCAGAGAAGCTCAGCGGCTTTGCTGCCTCAGGGAGGCAGGAGTGGCTCTTTGGAGGAGCAGTTGATCCCCGGGATGCTAGTGCTCTGCCTGAGCAGATGTGGGGCCTCAGGGCCTCAGGACTTCAGAGCCCAGGGCTGACTGACCTAGGGACAGGAGTGTAAGGGATGTGGGCAACGAAGAATTCCACAGGGCTGTATTTCCAGACTCCCATGGGTGGGTGTGGGTGGAGAAGCCCCAGTGAGCTGGTTATCTCCCACCAAACAAAACTGGAGGTCCCTTTGCAGAGACTCTTGCAGTTCATGTCCACATGACTTCTCTGAGAAGCAGGAGAGACTCAGCGCAGAACTCAGGGGAGTCGCACTCGGGAGAGGCAGCGTCTCCTCTGGAGCACACAGACCTTATGTCCTTCCCTCCAGCTGTCAGCCAGACATGCCCCAGTTGTCTTGCATATATACATATGTAATGGTAACAAGGAATTCTGCTTGAGCCTTGCCAATCAGCCCAGTGAGCAGGTTTCTGCAGCATCTTGTCTCCTGGGATAGATACTCAGAAAGTGAACCCTGTGCACTTTGGGGCCTTGTCTCTCAGCTTCTGTTGACACATAAGAAAAGAGACACACAGAGGACCCCACGCCCCATCTTCAAAGTGTGAAGCACACTCCCCGGCTGATACGATTCTTGTCGATTCACTTACGGAATCTTCCAATATGCTTTTCCTCCCTATACCCCACATCCCTGTCACAGAGTTGAGAATTGGATTACCTGGTGGGCAGGTGGGCCCCAGTTAGAGGCCGCTCACACCGGCTCAGTGCAGATGACCAGTGGCAGATGGGAACCCAGGAGGCCTAGAGATCTTGGGTGATAGGGAAGCTCCCGCAGCTCCCTCCTCACTAGTCCAGGCACCGGAGCCTGCGGTGGGAGCCCTGTCATCTCAGCGACGGCCTGCGGGTGACTTACAGCTCAATGAGGGGAGGCACAGAGTAGGTGCACACAGTAGGTGCCGAATCTGAGTGGTTTTATTCGTTCCTCTGTAGACCTCGTATTAGGCTGTCTCCTTGACTACCAAATCTGCTTTCCTCTGTGTTTATGCTCTGGAAGGTAATCCGAAGCCCTTTAATGGGATGGAAGCATTTCCAGATAAGAAGAGGGTGCTGTGGCCAGAGGCACAGGGCTGCCTGGGGCCAGGAGTGGCCAGAACCCTAGAGAAGAATTGCATTTGGGGATGCACATCAAAAACACGAGGAAAAGAAAGAAAGTGGGTGGGAATAGCGTGCCTTCGGCAGAATCCAAACTCACTTCCAAGGCAAAGCCAGGGCCCAACACGAGAATATTCATTTCCTGTTTCATTGTTGGTTACTTAATGACCTTCCTTTGAAATGCTGCAGTTATGTAGAAAGCAGGTTGTCATGGAAACGGGGAGTGACGTGCAGGGAATAGGTACACAATGCGTTTCTTTGTCATGTCCAGCTGATGCGTTCAGCCTCTGCTCAGACATGGGAATTTATGTGAGGAATTAAATATTAACTGGAGGCATTGCCCTGGAGAGAGGCAGAAACACAGGGTGACAAAAGATGCTGGAAACCAGGGCAAAGAGCATGCTGGGGCCCCCGGGATCCTGCGGGAGGCAAAGCTGATTTGAGACCATGGGTGGATCTCACTTTCTTCAATCAATGGGCTCCAGAGAAGTCGTGCAAAACAATCTTCTTTTTCAAATGCATATGTACTGTGCATTCTTTTGAGGGGCAGAAGGATCTGGTTGTAATGCGAATAATTACTCATTAGTCAGCTCATTTTCAAAGTTGGAGGGGTGACATGCCAAGTTTTCTCAAGGTGGCTCTCAGCTGCCTTGTCCCAGCACTCTGCTGGCCGTGGTTGTCAGTGGGAACCAACACCTAGAGCTGGGACAACAGTGCAGGGGACTGCAGGAAGACTCCAGGGAGGCCCCAAGTCAGAGAGAAATTGTCTCTTGTTCCTGAAGCAGCCATGGAGCCATGACCTTGTCTGTTTCTCCGGTGGATTCCAGGAAATAGGCATTGAATATATGATGTTAAAAAAGTGCCTCAAGTTTCTCACTTTCTCCCCTTGAGCCAGCACGGCTGGCACCCACCAAGCTTTCCTTTTCTGACCTTGAACCTTTTTAAACCCTCAGAAAATGAGTTCCGAGGTGAGCTGTTAAATCAGAGGTGGACACACGGAGGCAAGGCCAGCAGCTGCAGGACCTCAAGACACCTGGGCAGACACTGCAAGGTGAGACGTGAGAGGGCAGCCCCTGTCGTAGGGCCCCACCCCATGGCTGCCTGCACAAAGCCTCTCTTCAGCTGCAGGCATGAAGCATGGAGGCGACTTTTGGTCTGATCCTCACCAGAGTCCGGGTTAGGTGAAGGGTAAATGGGGACTAGGATCAGCAATGATCCGGTCACTTTAAAATTAAGGGAAGAAAAATGACTCTGAGTAGATCAAAACTAAAATGTGACCCCAGGCTGGGCCCGGTGGCTCACACCTGTAATCCCAGCACTTTGGGAGGCTGAGGCAGGTGGATCACTTGAGGTCAAGAGTTCAAGACCAGCCTGGCCAACATGGTGAAACCCCGTCTTTACTAAAAACACAAAAATTAGCCGGGCATGGTGGCATGCGCCTGTAATCCCAGCTATTTGGGGGAGGATCCCAGCTAAGGTGGGAGGATCACTTGAGCCTGGGAAGTCAAGGCTGCAGTGAGCTGAGATTGTGCCACTGCACTCCAGCCTGGGTGCAGATCTTATCTCAGAAGTAAAGGGACTAGGAATGGTGGCTTTTATCTCTAATCCCAGCACTTTGGGAGGCTGAGGCAGGTGGATCACTTGAGGTCAAGAGTTCAAGACCAGCCTGGCCAACATGGTGAAACCCCGTCTTTACTAAAAACACAAAAATTAGCCGGGCATGGTGGCATGCGCCTGTAATCCCAGCTACTGGGGAGGCTGAGGCAGGAGAATCACTTGAACCTGGGAGGCAGAGGTTGCAGTGACCCAAGATTGTGCCACTGCACTCCAGCCTGGGTGACAGAGCAAGACTCCATCTCAGAAAACAAGCAAGCAAGCAAACAAAAAAAACCCACCAAAATGAAAATGTGACCCCAGAGTCTCACTTCCTTGCTTTGAGGTGTGACCACGTCTGGGCTCTGTGATAGGCCTGAGCAACTGTTCTCTATTCACCCTGCTTTTACCTGGCCAGGCTGAGAATCCCTACAGGATCTGACAGCAGAGATTGCTGGCAGGAGCTTATGAAGTCTGTTGGCCTTGTTTTATTTCGATCTTCCTAAGGGGAGGCAGATGGTGCAAGCCCTTCTTATACCTTCCCAGGGTATAAGATCTCCCTTCGGGGACACTCCCGAACTGTGACATCACATGTGCTTACAGCCACTGTTCTCCACCACCAACCCTCTAATTCTAGAACTTCCCACCAATACTCTCTGGATGAGGCCAGGTCCCCAGGGTCAGGTGACCCTCACAGCTGGAAGTAGAGGCTGACAATAGGCTTAGGCTGAAGCCCTTCCCAGAGATCCGATTCTGACCTCTCTTTTTTCTTTTTTGCATGTAGATGCTCTCCAGCAAGGATCCAGCTGTGACTCAGGGCATGGCTCAAGGACAGTGATGGCGTAGGGTGTAGGCAAGGAGGGCTATGCAGTTGTAGTGGGAACTTCATTTGGGGGTGCTTGTGTTTTACTCTCAAAACCCAACCTTTTTCTTTTGAATCTGGTGGCGAGAATGTACATTTTAATGGGTCTGTTATAGACAACTTGCTGAGCACCTCCGCTCATATTTTGGCTCCCGCAGGATTATCAGTGCTCTGCTGATCCATGTTGGAGCCTGGGGCACAAGGAAGAGTCAGTAATATGGATCCTGTCTTTATTTAAGGTTTTGGTATCTTGTTTATTAGGGGTTTTTTGCATCATGTTGATGTTTCTAAATATTGAATTAAAATATTATTTATCTTGATCATTGAGTTTTTGGCCTCATTCCCCTCACCCTACCCCAGATCCTGAGGATTCACATAGCGCTGTACTGGCATGAGATCATGTGAGCATGAACGTTACTTGACTTGAGGCCAGGGGCTCTGCATGCAGCGTTATCTACAAATGTCTGGTGCCATGTCAGGGGTGGGTCGGAAGACTTTTGTCTCCCCCTGGCCCAGACATGACAAACTCAGAGAGTTTGGGACCTACCATGACAACCCATGGCTGTTCAAAGTGCTGCTTCTGTGAACAAAGCCAGGGACCCGTGCCCAGGTTCTCGTGGCATCACCAGCTCTTTCATCACTGCTCTGTTTGAGGGTCATTTCCCTTCTTTTCTTGCAGATAGGGCCGAGTGACTGCTCTGAATAGAGAAGCTAAGATGAAAAGTGTGCCAGAGAAGGCGAGAGGATGAGAAAGGGTCGACTGCCTAGAGGACAGTGGGGCAGCAGGTGCAAGTAGAATCTCCTGACTAAGAGGCTGAGGAGGGTGGCAGCAGAGGGCATAAGCCGTGGTCACAGTGTGAGAATGTCACACAGCCACAGCAGCATCGGGGTCAGCCTTCCAGAGGCTGGCTTCGGACAGGAGATGGGTGGTGAGGAGCCAGCATGGGAGGGCAGTGAACACACAAACCCTGTGCATGGGACCGTCACAGCCTGCGGCGTGCCTCTGAGTTCAGCACCAGGCATGTGGACAGCTCAGGACCGGTTGGAAGGGGCTGCCAGAAGTCAGGTGGTCGTGTGTCGGGGTATGCAGGAGCTGATGGTAGCTCCTCAACCCCCTTCTTGCCAAATATTCAGAGATATGGAATCAAGGAAAAGATCAGTTGCATGGCCATTCAGCCAACCCTTCTTCCTGCCACCCAGGGCAGGAGGTGCCTCTGGCAAGGACTACTGGACAGAGGCTCCTGCAAGGGAAGGAGCTGCCACTGGGTATGGCCCTTCTGGCCTCTCTTTATGTTGTTGGATTCTACCCTGGGTGGGTATAAATTCCATTTATGCTGGAGTTTTTAACAGACGGTTGCAGATATGGCTGCTTCATCAGGGTATCCATTATGTAGCTCTAATTTTTGATTTGGGAATGAAGTGAGCCAGTATCCCATGCTTAGAGCTGTCAAGAGAACCCCTTCTCAGACATGTGTTAAATAATGCCCCATGGAGGTGTCCTTTCTATACCCCAAGGAGGAGGCTGGTCTATTCTGCTGAATTTGTTGGGAGAATTTCAGAATTTCAGACATGCAACAGGACATCACCCAATGTGAGGACAGAACTATCTCTGCAAGGAACCAAGGGTACTGTGATGGCTGCCAGTGGGGATCAGGGGTGAGGGCATATGGTTTAGCCTCAGAGATCAAGAGAGTGGAAAGCAGGATGTGTGCTGAGGTCACCGACTTTCTATATCTGTTCTGTGGGCTGAGCTGGCAGGCAGGTCCATGCACCAAAGAAAGGGAAGGGGAGGGCTGTGGATGCAGCAGAAGATCCTCCTGGGATACTCGGGAGGGGAGCAACACAAATGCTTGAATGCTGCTCTTAGATCGTTGAGTGGGAGCTTGGATCTTCCACAATACTGTCTGCTGTAATGGCTTCACAGCAGTGACAGGGAAGTTGATGCTGCCCTCAGTACATAAATGAGAGAAGAAAACAGGCCAGACCATGGCTCTGTCTTTCTCCCCTCCCCTCACTGCAGAGAAGTGAGACTGAATGTGGTGTGAGGTACTGCTGGAGCCAGGCAGGGTAGGGGACAGCCAGTTTCTGGCCACCTCCTCACCCCCCACTCTTCACTGGCCCCTTCCTTCTGGGAAGTGGCTGCCTATGGTCCGCTGGGACTCAGCAGGTGCTCTTCCTCTTCTTCTAGGTCTCTGGGAGGAAAACCATTATGCAAGAGGCTCAACCGTCCCACCGAGACACTATAACCTATGTAATTTTATGGATTTTTAAAGAATAGTTGTAAGTCCATTCTAATTCTCCAGATTTGCTGGCTGTCAGAACACATTTTAAATAAAATAAAACACTACCGTGTCTCCTTCTCTGGCCCAGCGCTGGGGTGAATGGCCCCCGTGGTGTCAGAATGCCCGGAACCCCCCAGCTCAGCGTTCCCACATATGGCCTCTCTGCAGCCCCTCTGACCACGGCTCTCCACACACCCCAGCCCCAGGGTTTCAGAGATGTTTCTGACTGTCCCCATTTATTCATTCATCCACCTGTCCATCCACCCATCCTTAAATGACATGCACTAAGCAGCTGTCTGGAGGAGAGACAATGACCTTACAACCATGAATGAATGAGCTCATTTCAGATTGAGATGAGGACTGTGAGGGAAACAAACAGGCACAAGGTGGAGACTGAGAGGAGCTGGGAAGAGGCAGGGTGCTGGCCACCTAAGAATGCTCCCAGCTCTACCTCTGGAGTGCCTCCCACCCCAGATGTCCTCAGGTCACTGATCCATTCACCCTCCCCATCCCTACCTGGCTCTCAACCCTTAGCAGAGCTCTCTGTTTCTTGAACTCTCCCCTGAGCACTCCCTGCCTCCCTGGGGTGATGTACAAATCTTGGAATGCCAGGCTGGTGCCCCTCAGGGCCAGAACAGCTCCTGCTGGGGCCAGGACACCCTCCTGCTGGGGCCAGGCTTCAGCCAGGATTCTGTCCTTTGACTGGCCCTGGGCCATTGGTGCAGAAGGGATGTGATGGGGGTTGAGGGAGGAAGCTGTTCAGCTCTGAGGGCCCTGTCCTGGGAGGAAGCATGAAAAAGGAATGAAAGAGGCAGAGAGAGACAGAGAGGGAGTCCGTGAGTGAGTGAGGAGAAATGGGTAACCCTGAGCTGGGGCCCGGGAAGGAGTGGGGAGACGCAGCCTCTGGGGGCAAAGGTGGAAGTTGGCACAAAGCCCGTTGGGCTTCATGGAAAATCTCCAACCCTGATATCTTTGGAAGCTGAGTCTACCATTTCCCCTTAGAGGTTAGACACGAGTGGTTTGTTACTGGCTATGTGTCTGGGTTCTTTTCATTTTTTATTTTTTTTGAGACGGAGTCTTGCTCTGTCACCCAGGCTGGAGTGCAGTGGCGTGTTCTCAGCTCACCTCAACCTTTGCCTCGGGGGTTCAGGTGATTCTCCTGCCTCAGCCTCCCAGGTAGCTGGGACTACAGGCGGCCGCCACCACACCCGGCTAATTTTTGTATTTTTAGTAGAGTCAGGTTTCACCATGCCTGCCTCGGCCTCCCAAAGTGCTGGGATTACAGGCGTGAGCCACCATGCCCGGCCCTGTTTCTGGGTTCTGAGTGGATTTGTTACAGCTGCAGCCTCAGCGCAGATCCCTCTAGGTTTCAAGATTGCTTACTGCATTGGCTTGTTTTGGTTCCTGAGTTTGTAAACACCCAACTCAGGGCACTCTGTTTTGGCCAGGCCAGCATGCAGATGAGTCTGGAAAAGGGGCTGGTCTTCGTACCATGTCATGGTGAGAACTGTGTGTGTGTGTGTGTGTGTGTGTGTGTGTGTGTGTGTGTGTATACTTTTTTTTTTTTGAGACGGAGTCTCACTCTGTCGCCTAGGCTGGAGTGCAGTGGTGCAATCTCAGCTCACTGCAACCTCCACCTCCTGGGTTCAAGTGATCCTCCTGCCTCAGCCTCCCAAGTAGCTGAGACTACAGGCGTGCACCACCACACCCAACTAATTTTTGTATTTTCAGTAGAGATGGGGTTTCACCCTGTTGGCCAGGCTTGTCATGAACTCCTGACCTCAAGTGATCCACCCGCCTCAGCCTCTTAAAGTGCTGGGATTACAGACGTGAGCCACCGTGCCCAGCCAGAACCATGTATATTTTCAAAAGAGCTTACATGATTAATCCTGACTTTACTAAACAGAAATATAAAACAGAACAAAGCAAAAACACACTTTTGAGGAGACTGCTTTTATATGGCACTAAGAAAGCAAGTTAAATGGATGGACAAAGAGACAGTTCTCTTGGGTTAATTTGGCAATATACAATGTATTTGCATTTATGAATTATTCTCCTCCCCACAGTTTTCATGGTTTTCCTATCGAAGGCAGAACTATTGAAATATTAATTAGAGCCTCAAGACATGCTCGCAGTGGCAGAATGAAGCTGGCATTTGGAGAAACAGAGCAGACGTTCTTGAGAAAGGTTGCCGGCCCAGCAGTAAGAGTGGGTGATGGGGTCGTTCTGCCTTTTCACTCTCAAGGGGAGAGGTCACCGGGCTATCTGTGGGTTGCGCAAAAAAGGGACCTGGTTGGCTTGTGTTTGGAACAAGTAAAGTGTGTTTTAAAAATCAATGAAAAATTGAGAAGTGTTTAATTTTCTTTGCATCATTGAGCTGCCCTTTAGGGCCCAGCTGTCATTGTGTGGTGGGGGCAGAAGGTCTGGGGGGCTGCCGTCCAGGGATCACCAAGGTGAGCCTGGGTGGTGCTGGGCACAGGGCCGCCCCCAGCACCCGCTCTCCATCTACCACATCGTGGTGCCGATCTTGCGGCAGGAGGAGAGCAGAGAACTCACCTCTGAAGTGCTTTGACTTCTTTCGAAAAGAAAAGTGATGTAAATCAAGCAGTGCTGGTTTTGTCCAGATGCTTTCGCGTCAGCCGGCACTGCTGATTTCAAATAGCTCAGAAACCAGTGTCCCAAGTCACCCAGCTCTTACGGGTTCATTCTCGTATTAAAGAGCCTGGTTTATTTTTTCTTCGGTAGTTCAGTTTTTTTCCCTTTAAAAATCAAAGCTACACGCTCCTAAGAGAACTTCTCGCTTATTGACCAGTCAATGCAGATAAATTGCAAATGGTAAAAAGGTGCTCAGCAGAAGGAGCGGCAGAGCTGTCAGCTTCATCAACGGGAGCTCACAGTTTTCAAGCAGTGCCCATTACACATCCCTGCAACCCTCTCTATTCTCTGCTCTTTGAATAATTTATCTGCAGGAAATCCAAATTGCCAAGGCACGCTTTAACCTAGCAGAATGCTTGCCAATATCCTTGGGAAAACTGGCAATAAATAAATAAATAAATAAAGCCGTAGATTGCATTTCAGCTGAGTGCAGGCACCGCACAAGTCCCATTGTACGTCCTGCATCGGAAGGCATTGCACACGGGCTCAGAGCAGACGACATTTGAAGGCTCATAAATGTAATGAAGTCCCTGTGACACCTGCTCCTCTATTCACTTTAAATGTGAGCCATTTGTCCATGGGGAACCTCCGCTTTAAAAATAGAAATTGTAGTAATTGTCTTCCGTTCTATTGGAAGGCTGTAATAAACGCACGGCTCACAGCACTGTGCTCCACAGCCTGGAGTCGGCAGGTTGCATAAATTACCCAGGTTTTGATTTTTCTTCCTTAACAAATCACATACATCATTGTATGTTAGTGCTGCTGCATGGGGGAGGTTCAATTTGCAAATTTCATCTTACTAATTGGGGGAATTCCTTTTTCTTTCTTCCCAGGTGGTTCTGTAGACATTTGTCTCTTTTTCTGGCTTTCAGGAGCAAAAGCCCCATTTAAGACGTGGGGGCTTCTGAGCCCCCTCCTGCTGCCTCTCTTCCTTTCTTCTGCTACTTCTTTCCACTCCCCTGCTTTCCCTTTGACTACCTCACGCATAGAGCCCTGGCAGCTCTGGTGTCTGTGGCCTGGGACAGGTGTGGATTTGCTGCCTCCCCTTCCTGACCACAGGTGATGGTGGTGGAGTCCAGTGCTCTCCTCTTGGGCCTCCCCTGTCCGGCTAGAGGTGCCCTCCCCCGCCTGGTGTGGCTCCCCGGGAAGGATGTTTTGCATAGCATGGAGTGTGTAGGATTTACTTGCCTGCCCAGATTTGTCATGAGTGACACAGGACAAGGATGCTGTGTGTGACCCTCACCACTGCCCCACATGTCCTTTCTGTGATTGTCACCCTCCTGGGGGCTCCCCCATGACTCCCTCGCCGGACAATGCTGTGGGCAGTGTCCCCACAGAGGGTGGTCAGATTCAAGGATCACAGGTGGGGAGGGACACCGATAGGCTCAGGCAAGGCAGCCAGGCCCTCGAGGCCTGGAGAACATATGGGCTGGGGCCGCTCCAGGTTGCCTGTTTCTCACGGGATGACCCTGGTGCGTGAGGGGCATTAAAGCCTTCTGCTGGGCCGGGCGCGGTGGCTCACGCCTGTAATCCCAGCACTTTGGGAGGCCGAGACGGGCGGATCACGAGGTCAGGAGATCGAGACCGTCCTGGCTAACACGGTGAAACCCCGTCTCTACTAAAAAAATACAAAAAATTAGCCGGGCGTGGTAGCGGGCGCCTGTAGTCCCAGCTACTCGGGAGGCTGAGGCAGGAGAATGGCGTGAACCCGGGAGGCGGAGCTTGCAGTGAGCCGAGATCGCGCCACTGCACTCCAGCCTGGGCGACAGAGCGAGACTCCGTCTCAAAAAAAAAAAAAAAAAAAAAAAAAAAGCCTTCTGCTGTAGTGGGAAGAAAGGGCCCATGGGAAGCTGTGCTCTGGGGACACGTTGGGGTCAGAAGCCACTGGACGACCCAGCACTGCCGCTGGTGGCTGAGTCTGTGGTGAGCGACCTGCCCTGATGCCTCAGCACCTGCCTGACCAGGTGAGCAGTGGGTGCTGCTCTGTGTCGGGCCAGGAGACCCTCTTGGATAACATACGGACATTCATCAGGCTTCAGTGGCGCAGGGCCCATGCCTCAGCACTTGTTGGCAGGTGCAAACCTGGGGGCACGGTGCACTGTACCCTCCTTGCCAAGGCCGGGGACATGCTGATGGGACACTTCCAAGCCTTGTAGAAGGTCCTTTCTCTACACCCTCCCACCTGCTGCTCCTGGCCCCAGGCCTTTCTTGTCCTGTGAGCCCATCCTTGTCATTCTGTGCCCAAAATCACCTTTGCTGTCAAAGCTTGAGCCAGAAAATGGCCAGACATTCCTGATGGCTCTGTACTCCAGAGGCACTGGCTGGGTTTTCTTGTTAACGTCGTGGTTTTTTGCTTGCAGATGAGCTTAGAAAATGAAGACAAGCGAGCTCGCACCCGATCCAAGGCCCTGCGAGGTGAGTGCCGCCCTCCCCTCCTCCAGGGCTGTAAATGCCACTTTCCTCCGCGGTCTTCCTCAGGAGCACAAACCCCTAACCACACATGTGCAGAGATGCCCTGGGGACCTCAGGCCTCTTCAGCCTCATTCATCCTCAGGGCTGCTGAGCTTTGAAGCTGGCATCTAAGAGGGCTGCTGAGGGGCCTTTGGCCCAGATGAACCTGCCTTGAGGGCAGAAATGTTGAGGTAGACCCAGCTCCATGGAGTGGGAGTAGCAAGGCTCAGTTACGAGACCATTCTGTTTGGAAATGAGAGGCCGCCAGCCTTCCACCGCCAGCCCCCTTCCTTCCCAGGCGATCAGTCTTGGTGCTAATGGGGCATAGGAGGTTGTTGGGTTGAGCTGGAAGTGCAGTGGGAGGAGAGGAGGCTGACTCTGTTAGGATCTGAGCCCCAACCCCTGGCCAGACTTACCTCCCTGATACGGGCGGGGGCTTCCTCTTGTGCCCAAGCATCTCAGGTGTGCCTGCCCCGGTCAGAGCCCCGTGCATCTTGGCAGCCATCACTGAAGGACCAGTAACTCGGTCCAGTTGTTCTCTTCTCTGTCCAGCTTGATCTGGTGGTTTGTGTTTCCTGCCAAAAGCTGACTTCTATCTGCAATTAGAGAAAGAGATACCATCCCTGGCCCTGAGGTCCCAGAGATCCTGTCTGAGGTGGAGCATCTGTCCCACTTTGTAAAACTGCCAGGCTGCTCAGGGGAGCTTCTGCGGCGAGCACCAGGCTTGGGGGAGCAGCTCACTCTGTTGACCTTGGAGGACTCTCTGGGAGGTCAGGAAAGGGTGAGCGCCCTGGGGAAACGGCTCAGGTCTCACTGAGATTTGCCTCCACTCGTCCTTGGCAAACCTCTCGGCTGTTTAACTTAGTTTATGCTGTTAGGGCAATGAGCCTTTAAAATCACAATTCCCACATGTTTTCCCTGTTTCTGTCTTTTTCCCAGGACCCCCAGAGACCACAGCTGCAGACCTCAGGTAAGGAAGTCTTCCTGTTAGCACCAAGCATCGTCTATGTGCCTGTGACCCTGGAGATATCCTAAATGTCCCAAACGGGGTCTTCTTGGATTGACCAAACACCCCTGGTGAGCCCCTGCTTTCCCTAAGGAGACTGCCTTTCTCCTGGCCACGTGTCCAGCTATCTTGGCCCCATCTCTATCTGTTCTCACCTCTGTCCTGGCCCCATCATGTGGCGCACCAGCATCATGGCAAGGACACGGATGTGCCTACACCTGGTCACCACGAGGACCTGGACTGTCACTGCGGTCCCCCAAACCGAAAACAAGCCGCTCTCTTACCGGACCCTCACAAGTGCTTCTGTGTCAGATGGTTGGAGGCCCAGTTCGGGGATGAGATGAGAGAAGGGGTCTTCTACATCCTGAGTCTTCCATTGGCTCGGGATGCAAACAGCAGTTCTGTGTGCTGATGACCCGGCTGGCTGAGCTCTGTGACCGTTTCCTTCCTGCTTCTCAGGGATACAGATTCTCAGGGCAGGGACCATCTTACTGTTCAGCATACAATTGAAGAGTGGATGGCTTCTGCCAATCAGGAAAATGAGAGGACTGCAAAGTTCACTTTGTAAACCTTTTGCAGAGGTGGGACAGGAAGACAGTGTCCCTCTGACACTTGAGGCCCCGTAACTTGGAGATGAAGGGGGAGGACTACGGGAGGGAGTTGGGGTGCTGCAAGCCCCAGGCTCTGCGTCAGTCACACATCACAGTCTTGATCTCTGGGAAGGTCATGGAAGCACTGCCTGGTGATGTTATTATCCTGTTTGTGAAGTGGGGAAACGGACTCAGGGGTTAACCTTCATCTAACCAGAAGAGCTGAATCGCATGTGCTACTTGCTGGAAGCCCCACCCTGGGTAACAGGTGGGAGGGGTGGGGTGGAAGCTCAGCCAAACAGGTCGTGTGCCAGCACTTCCGGTCTGGGGTCCTCAGCATCACACCGGGTGCTCCCCAGAACACAGTCCCCGGAAGCACAGGGGTCGGCTCCCTGGAAGGGAGACATTGCCTGCTTGGCCAGCCTGCTGAAGAAGCGGTGATTGCGACGGCGAGAGATGCTCAGAAGGACCCCGAGTAAAGGGAAGAGGAGGTGCCACGTGGAGTCGCCCAGGGACACGGTGGAGACAAAGACGGAGGAGAATCCCAGGCGAGGGTGCAGTGAGTGAGGCACAGGAGTTGAGGAAACTCCAGGCTTTTTTGGTAACAGATGGAGTGTGGAGGAAGTCGAAAAGGCAAATACAAATGGCAGGGTGCTCTCTTGTAGCTTTGAAACAGCAGAAGGAAAAGTGACTCTCAAATAGATTTGTTCGTTTTTAAACATTCTGAGAGGACCTGTCCAGTCTAAGTGAGGGGTTCTGTGAGCATTTGGATTTTGACGCCCTCATCATGAGCCTTGTGGTCTCAACTGACATATTTGGTAATAGTGAGACCCTTAAACTTTTTAATGGAGAAACTAGGGGAAATGTGTTGACATCTAGTGTTCCAACAATAATTTCTTCAGCAATTCTTCATTGCTAACATGCAATGTGATGCTTAGAGTAAAATAGGACAAAGATTATGTTCCAAGGAATCAAATACATTCTGCACGGAAGGTACCATTCATTCCTGTATTCTCAAACATCTGTTGGCCACACGCTTCACGTGGGCATGCCTGTGGCTCGTGCTGGCTGACTGCGTGCCCCAGCCATCGTGGGAGCATTTACACCACAGAAATGGACTGATGATGTTCCCCCTCCCAGAGACCTGTTTACCAGCACACGCTGGGCTCTGACCGGACAAGCAGACGAGACCTCTGTCCTGGTGGGGGCCACACCGTGGGTACCAGAACAGGAAGCATGACCCACGCAGAAAACGCACCGTTGTGGTCTGTGAGAGGAGCATCGCGTCCTGTGTGCAGACCATGGCACTGGATGAGCTCACAGACACAGAGTCACCTGTCGGGAACCCCCGTGTGTCGGGAACCCCCGCGTGTCGGGAACCCCCGCGTGTCGGGAACCTCTGCGTGTCGGGAACCCCCGCGTGTCGGGAACCCCCGCGTGTCGGGAACCCCCGCGTGTCGGGAACCCCTCGCGTGTCGGGAACCCCCGCGTGTCGGGAACCTCTGCGTGTCGGGAACCCCTGTGTGCAGGACTTTCTCTGTGGATGACTTAACACTGCATTGGCTCAGAACTTCACAGCCTGCAGTGCCCCTAACCCCAGCTCGCCTCCCCACCAGCTCAGGCAGAGCTCCCAGGAAGACAGTCCATTGGTTGTTTACCAGGTGAGCTGAGGAGAGGTTGGACTTGGATCGAGCAGGACCCTGAGCTGCTATTTCCGACCTCGGAGCCCACTGGGAGTGCCTGAGCGAAGAAGCAGTTTGATGGTTTTTCCTTTCACCCCATCGGGAGAACTGATGACGTTTCAGCTTGTATTTTTGCCTGGGTCCATCTGTTGTCACATGGCCTCAGACTGGCTCTGCCAGAGGCGAAGACTAGGGAAGGTTAGGGTTGGGGTTAGCATCTTTGAGACAGCGAGGCGCTGACAACACCGAGTTCAGGACCATCTCCAAGTTCAGAGAGAGAACACGTCTGTAGCTCACCCTTCTTCTTCTGGCGCCTTCCTCCTTGAGCCACTGGCCAACTCCCACCCAGATGACTGCCCCAGGAGAGGGAGGGAAGGCAGGGAAGGCAGTGTCTTCAAAGGCTAGTAGCTGAAGCATGGGGCTCCAGGCTGGGATTCAGTTCCTCTCCTGACTTGTCTCCTTTGACGCCTACTTTTCAAGTTTGGGTCCCTCAGAGCTGTCATGCAGGATGCCAGCTGAGGGGTGACTGTGGGCCACACCCTCTTCCCAGCCTCACGTGCATCCTTTCCTCACATCTCTGACACCAGCCCTAGTCAGAGCTGGGGAGTCAAGGCTGGGGAATTCCCTCCTCCCGGAGAAAAGAGGCTCGGGAGTCCTGGAGCCCTGGCCGTCTTCCTCTCCCTACAACTCTGGCCCTGAGCACCCAGAGGACATCAGGAAATAAGAGCTGAGTGTGCTTGCAGGTGAACTGCAGGGCTGGCATCTGCTGGCACGACACCCTTGGAGGCCCTGGCTGGGTCTCTTGTCCACTCGGCTGTGGGGTGGGGAGCAGGCATCTAAGGGGTTTCCAGCTTCCTGTCCCCGAGCGGCCTTGTCCGCTCCACGCACTTGGGCTCACAGCCGTGTCTCACACCCTCTGAGGCTGGGGCCGGAAGGTGCAGGCCCACCTTCCTGGGGACCAGGACTCTTCTGAGCTGAGGGTGACGTGTTCAGGGCAGTCCGGTCCCCACAGGCCTCCACAGCAGCTGTCACCTAATTGCCTGATTCACTCAGTGATGTCATCGGCTAATTGGGACCTTAGCTTCAAATCCCCATTAACAAGGAGCTTTTTTGTGAAAAGTCCCAAAGCTAGTTCTCCAAAGAGTGAAAGCAAGTGTGGGCCTGGATTTTAGAAGAGACTAGAGGCAGGGAGAGGTGGGTGGCAGCGGCGGCAACTCCCTCAGTTTGGAAAGGGAGCCCCCAGTCGAGTGTGGTGTGCCCTCCCTCTCTCGCTCTCTCCCTCTTCCTCCCTCTTCCCCTCCCTTCCCGTCTGGGTTCCCTCTTCCCTCCTCCCTCCCTCCTTCCCTCCCTCTCTGTCTTCTTGTTAACACACTGAAAACCCCACCCTGGAAGGCTGCAGAGAACATCCCCCTCCCCCACCCCATGGCTGCTGTTGAGCCAGGGGATAGGGTAAGGCCTGGATTCTGCTGACGGTTCTCCCAGAGGTAGTCGGGGAGGGTGGCCTGCAAGCCCACTGGGCCCCACAGTTGTCTGCAGTCAGGCCTGTGATCAGTCGAATTAGAAACGATCAGAGGTGTCTGGATAGAGACTGGGGATGGCGTTCTTTTCCCCGGGTCCCAGGTATGGGGGCACCAGCCCTTACCTTCCTCCCTTCACAGGCTCCGGAAGATGTGCTTGGGTTTTGGAAAGAGCTCAGACTCACAATGCCAGTCCTGTTAAAAGCAAGGTCTTCCCATCTTGGCCAGGAAAGCCTCTCTCTTCCCACAAGGAGCGCAGGCCTGCCCCTCCCACCTGCCTTAGGTGACCTGGCACAGGCGTCTGGGTCTTACAATGGCAGCTCCTTGTAGTCCTTGAGCCGTGGATGCATCCGACAGCCCACAGGAGCCTGATACATGGTGAACTCTGGCCTTACACTCCACACTGGCCCCTTTGTGCCTGAGGCTGCTGTGGGAGCTGTGGTCCTGCCGCCACGTTGGTTGGCATAGTCAGTACTCATGCTCAGAAGTTTCCAGAGCTTCCTGCTGGTTTGGTTATATAGGGAGACAGATGATGGTTAAGGAAGAGGAACTCCTGGGTGTCCTGCCTTGTGCTTCTAGGGTGAGAGATGCAGGAGGGTCAGTGTCACCCCCTCCCCAAACTGCCCTTCTTAGCACAGCCCAAAAGTCTTCCACGAGGCAGATGCTGTTGGTTCCTGGTTCACGGGCCCTCCCGGCTTCTTTTCCCTGCGTGGAAGCTGGGACCCACACCAGCTACAGGCACTGGTGGGATCTTCACCACTGTCTGTGGCTTGGGCCACAGATTCCTTTCTGCCTGTCAGTCCTGGCTCCGTTTGCTGGGGCACGAAGGTCACAGCTGGCAGGGAATGCAGAGACTGTTACCCTCGAGGGCCATAGGCCTTATGGCATTAGTGATGGCCACAGAGAATGCCAACTTCTGTGCTTTGGACTTGGGACCTCTTTAGAGAGGGGTGCCGTGTTCAGGGCACCTCAGAGCGTCTCGTGTCCAAGCTCCTGGAAACCTGGTGGCAGCTAGTGGAATGCCTGCCGTGGGGAGCGGTCTGGGAGACTCTGGCGCTAGAAGTCTTGCTCTTATGTATACACAGTCTTTAATTGAACACTCGTAAAACTGTAATGAGCCATTTATTTATTTGAATGGGGCGAGTTATTAATTTTCAGCAAACTGCAGGCAGCCATTCTGAGGTGAATCGTCTGGAGACATTCTGCTCCCCAGGGTGAAGGTCTGCGACAGGCTCTGAGATCTGAGCCCATCGCCTGATGTGGCCTTGCCTTTTTATTTCCCCTCAGCTGCCCCACCCCAGGATGCACAGGCTCAGGGCACGTCCGGGGCAAGTACTCCAGGCACCGAAGGTAAGAGGACCCTTGGATCTCACGGAGATTCCTGGGCGGTAGATTTGGAGCCCCTGCCCACTCTGCAGATGGAGAACTTTCCATCTTTTTCCATGGCTCCCAAGGCCAGGCTGCTGACCCTTCTGCGAGGCAGCGACCTCCCACTCTAGCGTGGAGATCTGTGTGGCCATGGGCGTGCCATGTGGGGGAAGACAGACCATCTGACCTCCCGCGAGGCAGCGACTTCCCACTCTAGCATGGAGGTCCGTGTGGCCATGGGCGTGCCATGTGGGCGAAGACAGACCATCTGACCCCCTAGTGCTGCACTTTGCTTTTTTTGTCCGGGTTCCCTGCAAGGACTGGATGAGTCTGTGGGGAAGGGAGGGAGGGAGGACCCTCGGGAGGGGCTCATGGGGTGTCTGAGGCCTCTCGTGGCCCTAGCCTGGTCCTCTCCACTGCCTACTCCTCCCTCCCAGTTTACAGAGCTGCCCCCTGGCCAAGAAGAGGAAGCTGGAGGGCGCTGAGGCTGAGCACCTGGTGTCCAAGAGGAAGTCACACCCCCTGAAGCTGGCTCTGGACGAGGGCTATGGTGTGGACAGCGACGGCAGTGAGGACACTGAGGTGAAGGACGCCTCTGTTTCGGATGAATCGGAAGGAACTCTGGAGGGGGCCGAGGCTGAGACGTCAGGACAGGACGAGATTCATCGCCCCGAGACAGCTGAAGGTGCTTTGTCGCTCTTTCTTCCCCGAATAAAGGGCGCTTAGTGTGGCCCTGGAGAATTGCAGCCTGTGAGCGGGGAGGGGCTCACTCCGGGCAAGAGAAAGCCCTTCCTGAGAACAAGGCATGTCTTGTCCCAACATGTGCTGGGCTTCCTGGGAGAGAGGTCTGCCCATGGTGTTTATGGGGCCTGTGGTGTGTTTGTGTGTGAACACTGTGTGCGTAGGAGAGAGGCAGGACAGACAGAGACACGGGGCTGGTGTGTGTGTGTGCAGTTGTAGTGTGTTTTGGCAGGTGTGTCTGCATGTATATGAGAGAGACAGACAAGGCTGTGTCTCTGTGTGTCTGTAAGTGGGGAAGGGAGGATCTTAGACTGGCCCTCTGTTCTGCCTGGCCCTCTGGGAGACCTGCCTGGGGGCATGGGTGAGAGGTCTGCGTTCCCCTGAGGTACTCACAGGCAGATGCTGAGGAAACACCTCAGGTTGAGCTTCAGGTGATTGAGGACCAGATGGAGCCTCTGAAGACGGGGTGCCCGGGGAGGCCAAGAGGGGAAGGAGGAAAGCAGACGAGTCCCCCACTTCCTTGTGGGGTCTACCAGGACTGCCATGTTGGAGCTCCTAGCCCTTGGCAAAAGTGCATGAAGCAGGTGCTTTGGCCCCTGGGTCCCGGAGGGAGGGGTCTGTGCCCCTGAGAGCCCTGGCAGATCTGTAGAGACCTGGGGTCAGATGAGGCCCAAGGTCCACTCCCCCCACCATCCCCACCACTCACCCAGCACTCCCCAAGCTTCTGCAGTGGGGAAGGGTCTGAGATGGATTTCAGAAGCAAAGCCAGAGAGGGTCCTCAACCCCAGCTCCCTTGGGGGGCTCTGGAGTGAGTGCGCTGTCCCGTGGAATCAACATAGTCCTAGATCCCAGGTAGAAAAGACACACATTTTCCTGCTTTCTTATCAAGAAGGGCGTCTGGGGTTCAGCTGTCAACCTGGGCTTGGACTTTCCCCTCCGAAGTAGGTGGATGGCAGGGCCCATTCCTACCACTGTGGGACGTGCTGGCCCAGGTGTCCTTGCTGACAACCCTACGGGGCCTGCATGTGGTGAGCACCTACCATATCTTAGTTTCGTTTTGTTTTTGTTTTGAGAGAGTCTCACTCTGTTGCCCAGGCTGGAGTGCAGGGGCACGATCTTGATTTACTGCAATCTCCTCCTCCTTGGTTCAAGGAATAGCTGGGACTACAGGTGTGCACCACCACGCCCAGCTCATTTTTGTATTTTTAGTAGAGACAGGGTTTCGCCATGTTGACCAGGCTGGTCTTGAACTCGTGACCTCAGGTGATCCGCCCGCCTCGGCCTCCCAAAGTCCTGGGATTACAGGCATGAGCCACCGAGCCCATTCTTATTTACTGATTTTCAATTATGAAACAATTATTATTATTTTTTTAAAATCTGACTTGCTGCTTAAGCTCCATTGTATACAATGCAGGTTTATCTGATTTGGGAAAGTAAACGTGATGGGAGAGGAACATTAAGAAAAAGTATCAAAGTAATTCTTAGTTTAAAAAATACATCAGTGGCCCATGACCTGCCTCCTAAAATATATTCACCGTGATTTCTGGATTCAGGCAGAAGGGTTGACAGAAAGGTCCATACCAAATCCCCACTTCTGGAGTTTCATGTTTCCCCTTGGCTCCCGTATAAAGAGTGAGTGGTAGGTCAGGTGGAGGGGTGGTGGGTGTGTTGGGGACTGGAGACCTGGAGTCTTCCCACGTGCTCTCTGGCCCCCACGTTGATTTTGATTTTGTGCAGGAAGGAGCCCCGTCAAGTCCCATTTTGGATCCAACCCCATCGGCAGCGCCACTGCCTCCTCCAAGGGCAGCTACAGCAGCTACCAGGGAATCATCGCAACTTCTCTCCTGAACTTGGGTCAAATTGCTGAAGAGACCCTGGTGGAAGAGGACTTGGGCCAGGCGGCCAAGCCAGGTCCTGGCATTGTGCACCTGCTTCAGGAGGCTGCAGAGGGAGCTGCCAGCGAGGAGGGTGAAAAGGGCCTCTTCATCCAGCCAGAGGATGCCGAGGAGGTCGTCGAAGTCACCACCGAGCGCTCCCAGGACCTGTGTCCCCAGTCCCTGGAGGATGCAGCCAGTGAGGAGTCCAGCAAGCAGAAAGGCATCCTGAGTCACGAAGAGGAGGACGAGGAGGAGGAGGAGGAGGAAGAGGAGGAGGAGGAGGATGAAGAAGAGGAAGAGGAAGAGGAGGAGGAAGAGGAAGAGGAGGAGGAGGAAGAGGAAGAGGAGGAGGAAGAGGAAGAGGAAGAGGAGGAGGAGGAGGCAGCTCCTGATGTGATCTTTCAGGAAGACACCTCTCACACCTCTGCCCAGAAGGCCCCTGAGCTCCGGGGCCCAGAATCACCCAGTCCCAAGCCTGAGTACTCTGTTATTGTGGAGGTCCGCTCGGATGATGACAAGGACGAGGACACCCACTCCCGGAAGTCAACAGTCACTGACGAGTCGGAGATGCAGGACATGATGACCCGGGGAAACCTGGGCCTCCTGGAGCAGGCCATCGCCCTGAAGGCTGAACAGGTGCGCACAGTCTGCGAGCCGGGCTGCCCGCCTGCCGAGCAGAGCCAGCTGGGCCTGGGAGAGCCAGGGAAGGCAGCAAAGCCCCTGGACACTGTGCGGAAGAGTTACTACAGTAAAGGTAGGGCTCAGGGGTGGCCTGGCCCTGCAGACTCATCCTTTCACCCCTGCCCCAGGTGTGCAGATGCAGGCTGAGAGCCCTTCTAGGACAGGGGGCTGGGGGATGGCAGAAAAGCAGACAAAAGGACAAATACATGACACAGACTGTGGTCAGATACTGAGCAAATGGGTTCCCACACTGCTTTACATAGAGCGATCTGGAGCGAGACACAGCGGAGACGTGTGAGAAAGAACCAGGTGGGAGAGAGGAGGTGGGAGGGACAGTGACCCACCCACAGTGACTGGTCACAGCAGCATCTGGGGTCTGGAGAGGGTGGGGACCGTCCTGTCCCTTCCACCCCAACTCACACTCGTGGCAGGGATTGTGCTATGACAGAACCCGCTGTTTCCTACAGCCATGCTGGGTCATCCTGATCCTCTCGTGGGGTGGAGACCAGCAGGCAGATGTGAGGGGTGCCCTTGCTCCTCAGAGGGAGCAGCCTGCCGCTGGCTCTGCATCTGTCTCTGGATTTGGCTCTAAAGTGTGCAGGGTACAGGGGAGCCATCCCCTGATCGCACGGAGTGGCTGATGTTGAGGTGAGGATAGACAAGGAGGGCTGCTTGGAGGGGCCTGGGGCTGGGCTGACGTGGTTGGGGAGCAGCTGGGAAGCAGCTGATGTGGTTGGGGAGCAGCTGGGAGCCTGGAGTGCTGAGGTCTGAGGACGAATCCTGAGTAAACGGTTACGGCCTTCATTGTTACTGGGGTGTCAGGGTCTGGACAACAGGCTGGCTCTGCTCTGCTGACTGCCCATCTCAGATTCCTCCTGGGACAGGGGTCTGGGGAGCAGGGCTGGCCAGGGGCTGCTCCCTCAGTGAGCCATGCCAGGGAGGCCAGGCCTTGGACAGGTCAGCTTTGACCCAGCCGGCCTGGTGCGGAGGGCCTCCTGCACCTGGGCACTTGGCCTCTATTCTCCTAAGACTAGGGACCTGCCCTGATCTCGGCCTCTTTTTTCCCCATGTCTAGTCCTGCATCTCTTCTCCAGGTGGACGGGGGCAGTGGGAGTTCTTGGTGCTCTTCCAATGAGTGCCCCCAGGAAGAGTTAGCTGAGACCAGGGAGGGAGCAGATAAGGAGAGAGAACTGGGATGGGAGATGACTCAGGTGCTGGAGCCACGAACCAAAAATGCAGGAGACACGGAATTGCCAACCCTGGGAAGATGCACTTGGGTCATGGGAGAGACAGACCTGAGTGAGACATAATTCAAGGGGCATGATAGGCAGGTCAGTGGAGACACGAGGGACATGTTTTCCGGGAACACCAGGCATATGAGACAAGCTCAGGGGAAAGATGCTAAGGGGACACAGGTGGGGACATGGTTTCAGGGTGAGATGGACCCAAAGAATGGCTTTGCGGGGACACCCTTTAGGGCAACCCAGATGGCGGGACAGCTCTTTGGGGACCCAGATTTAGGTCGGCAGTGTCATGCTCCGGCCTTGTGGGGCCATGGGCACAAAGAGACACAGGCTGAAGGTGAGACTTAGGGACAGGTGTCAAGGGCCCGGGGTGGTTACTAGCCTGGCTGTGGTGTGCTTGGGCCGCACAGATCAGCGCAGAATTTGGTGGGACACATATGAGGAACACAGACACCAAGTGACAGCCCTAGGCCCAGGTTTTTGAGGGTCTCAGACCTGTGGGACAGACATAGGAGGACCCAGATGCAAGGCATCCTGCCTTCAGGGATAGATTTTCAGTGCATGGACCCAAAGGGACACGGCCCCGGGTGACACAGGTGGCCAAGCTGAGAACACCAGGCAGTGCCCAGCTGGGCTGTGAGTGTCTGTGCAACGTGAACGTGCGGTTCTGGTTCTGAGGGACTGATGTTGGGGCACAGATGCTGCGAGAATTCTGGACAGAGGCCGTGGGACAGGGGTGGCAAGCCCAGGAGGCCGGTGTTGGGCACGGGTTTGGAAGCCCCTCAGGACACCCCTGCCTGTCCACATGGGTGGAAGTCTGACTCCTTTGAACTTGGGGCAGCAGAGCAAGAGCTCCTTCCCTTTGGAGCCCCCTCCTGGGACCCTCCTGCTCTGAGGTGGGAGTTCTGAGTTTGGCTCTGTGACCTCTGCACCCTCCCAAAGGGGACAGCTCTCGTCCAAAGGTGTTTCACTGAGATGTCAGCTCTGCTCTGAGGGTCCTCCGTGTTCCTGCTGGTCCCTATACTCTATAGTGACCGGCCTGGACCTGCAGAGGCTAGAAGAGGTCGATAACTGAGATTTGGGTTTACATTTCTGCCCAGGCATAGATTAGTCATGCAGCCTTGGATAAGTTACTCAACTCCTTTGTCTTCCTCGTTTTGTCAAATCCCAAGGATATCTCCTGGCAGGAATATTGCCAAACGCCTTGACCTCTCTAGGCAGAAGGCTGACCCATGAGGCCTCCACACTGTCAGAGGAGAGAGGAAAGAGGACTCCAGCGGCCGTCTGGGTTGTTCTCCTTAAAACGCTGCACAAACTGCTATTTGGGATTGTCAGGGCAGCCTCAGGGCTTCCGCACAGGCAGCCAGTGTGGGCTGGTTTCTTCAGGGTCTCCTGACTGTCCAGCCCCAGTCCCTGTTCAAGCTCATGGGCAGTCTCGCCTCCCTTCTCTCTGGACAGCCAGAGAGAGGGTTCCTGAGCTACCCCTGCCCCCTCTCTGCTCACCACCCAGCTTCCTGGCTCTAACTGATGTGACTTGTGTGTTTTAGATCCTTCAAGAGCTGAGAAGCGTGAGATCAAGTGTCCAACACCAGGCTGTGATGGCACTGGCCACGTTACCGGGTTGTACCCTCACCACCGCAGCCTTTCTGGCTGTCCCCACAAGGATAGGATCCCCCCAGAGAGTGAGTAGCTCTGTGCAGCGTTAGCCCTAACTGTGAAGCTCACGCTGCCTCTGTGGTGTTTGGGTGGTGTCTATGGGGAGGCGTGGCCTGCCCAGGGCCATAACCTTCCCCTTTGGTTTGTCCAGATGCTCATCCTTACATCTCCCCGCTTTCCCCCACAAACTCCCTCAGCCCAAACTTGAGCCCTTTGAGGCTGGGGCCCTGCAACCAGCCCATTTGTCTACCTAGAGACGCCAGTCCGGGTCAGAGCCCACAGTAACAGATCGATGGGAGGGGGACAGGCTAGTGCCATCCAAGCTGGGAAGGGAGAGGTCTTCTTGCAGCAACCTCTGTGCCCTGAAAGCTTAGGAAGCAAATACTTGTTCTTATGTTTAGGCTAGAAGCAGTAATTGTGAAAATTAAATTTAAAGGAGCAAACCACAGAATGAGAGGTTTTAAAGCTGAGTCTGGTTTCTGCCGCAGGAGGGAGGGACCACAGTGGTGGTGGCGGTGGGGGGCATGCCCTGACCAGGCTGAGGGTGGGGAGTTGTGTCTGCAGGCTCTTGGGGGCTGGAGCTGCCCTGCGTTGCTGTGTCCCCCACCTGCCTACCAAGCAGCAGCCTTTGGACAAGGCTCCTGCACCCTCCTCAGCCTGTGCTCCCCACACAGCTGGCGCTCCCCAGATTCTCTGACAGCCTCGGCTCCCTCCACCCCCTGTTCTCTTACAGTCTTAGCCATGCATGAGAACGTGCTGAAGTGCCCCACTCCTGGCTGCACAGGCCAGGGTCACGTGAACAGCAACCGCAACACGCACAGAAGGTACTTGGACTGAGCTGGGCCGTAGTGGGGGCCAGGGTGGGGGCCGTGGTGGGGGCCAGGGTGGGGGCCGTGGTGGGGGCCAGGGTGGGGGCCGTGGTGGGGGCCAGGGTGGGGGCCGTGGTGGGGGGCTCCACGTGGGGTAGGGCACCTGGGTTGGGCCTGTGTGTCCCTGCCTGGGCCGTGAGCCCGTGACCTGGGACGGGGCTCTGGCCTGCCTGGGGCTCCCTGTGTGCTACCCTTCTCCCAGCCTGCCGCCCTGAGGAGTGGGTACAAGGTCAGGGCACACCTGGGCGGTGAGGGGCCTTTGTGAGGGCAGAGTGGCAACTGGAGGTGCAGTCACCCAGTGGTGTTGCTGCCTTAACCCTACGAGCTCCCGAGAGAGCAGGGGGCGGCCTGCAGAGGAGGGAGCAATGCACCCTCTGTGAAGAGAGGTACAACAACCATGTGAGAGCCAGGTGAATACTTTGTGTCCTACCCACATTCAGAAAACCTCTGCACACTGGCTCTTGCTCCTGAGTGGGAAGGGCAGACATGAACAGTAACCTCGGCAGGCCAGGACTGTGCTCTGGGCTGCTTTGTGGGAGTTCTGAGGCCCAGGTGGAAGTGAAGCTTCCCGACCACCCTCGAGGTGTAGTTGTTGACTGGTCTTCTATGGTGAGGGGGGACTACTCCTCCAGCCTTACCCTAAGTGCCATGGGTGGCCGTGGCCTCGGTGGGATATGCTTTCCCCCAGCAGGCTTATGCTCAGCTGAAAGGACTGCCAGAGCTTTTGAGGTCACTTCATTTGAAAAGAGGCCAGTTCCCCATTACGTCACCTCCCTGGGCTGGCTGAGGGACTGGCGCTGGAGCTCACAGTTAACTTTATTCTGACAGATGAAGCTGCTGCCTCCGTGTCTTAGACTGAGTACTTTCCTGGGCCTGTGTCATCCAGGGTCAGTGCCCAGGCTGTGGTCCAAGTGGGGCCCTGGGCTGCCCCAGAGCAGCTAACAGAACAAGCGCCAGAGAGGGCTGCAGAATCCAGCCCTGCAAGCTGGGAAGGGAGAGGAAGGGGGTGAGGGCAAGCCTGTCTCCCAGACCCATGCAGAGGAGGCATCTTTGCCCAGAGCTTTCAAGGCCTTTAGGATATATTTCATCTTTGTGTGTCCTTGGCATAGAATGTTCCAAAACAGAAACTGACTGGGCAGCTTGTACTGTGAGGGCTCAAGAACAGAGCCAGAGAGAAAACCCCTGTCCTGCAGAATGACAGGGTTATTCCCGGCTCTGGGCTTCTCTGGAGTTCACCTGGAGTTCTCACATCTGAATGACCTTGCCGTGAGACACCCACACACACAGACACCCAGGACAGGACAGGCATGGAGGGGAAGGCTCAGAAACCCCTCCTCTTCCTTCCTCTAGTTTGTCTGGGTGTCCCATTGCTGCCGCCGAAAAATTAGCCAAATCCCATGAGAAGCAGCAGCCGCAGACAGGAGATCCTTCCAAGAGTAGCTCCAATTCCGATCGGATCCTCAGGTGAGTGAGATGAGCCACAGAACTGAAGAGGCTGCCTCCCAAATGCCTGCAGAGGGCTTCTCAGTCTCCCGCAGGCTGTATGTGCATGTGTGTGAGTGCATGTGTGTGAGTGTACGTGCATGTGAGTGTACGTGCATGTGAGTGTGCACATGCCCCGGGCCCCCCAGGAGCAGAACTGCGGGGCAGTTTTGGAGCCACACAGGACAGAGTCTCATGTCTACCACATTCGCCAGTGCCTCAGCCAAAGCGCAAACTCCTGCACAGTTGCCTCTGCCTCCGACATGGGGCTCTGCCTCCTTGGAGTCGTCTGATGTGACCACTTGAGGCCCCTTGGGGATTCATTTGTGGAGATGCTGGTCCTGTCTGGAAAGAGCAGACTGCACCAGCCAAGGACCACGGACGTCCAGGAAGCACCATGAGCCACTAATCCTTGGCCGTCCTGCCTGTCCCTCCCCGACCCCAGGGATAGACCCCAAGTCAAGGAAGAGGGTGGGTGCAGGCTTTGCTCCCCAGAGTGCTTTGTGGCCCCTGAGGTTCTGAGATCACAGTAGGTGTGTGTGAACATGTGGGAGCGTGTGTGTGCATGTTCACACGCCTGTTTGTGTTTGCATATGTGCGGGTATGTTTACATGTGCGTGCAAGTCCATGTGTATGTGAACACGTGGGAGCGTGTGTGTGCATGTTCACACGCCTGTTTGTGTTCGCATATGTGCGAGTATGTTTACATGTGCGTGCAAGTCCATGTGTGTGTGCATGTGTAAATTTGGCTCTAATCAATAAGGATCTTTCAGAATGTGTCCCATTAGTGTCCCCTCCTTCCATGTGGCTCTAAGAAGTAAGTGCCACAAATAAGGCCAGAGGCTCAGAGAGTTGCCCAAGGCCACCCTGCCCATCCTGCCTGGCTTCAAAGTCTCTCCTCTATGGAGCTGAGTCCTTGGACCACGGTACCCACTGTCGAAGAGGACACTTCCACTGCTCCTGTCTTCACCTGCAGACACCCTGCTCCCCACTCCCGTGAGGAACTAGAACTCACACACAGCTCCTCCTCCCCAGCTCTCAGACCCCTGTTCCATATCTGTCTCACCAGACAAGAGTGTAGGAGACCCCGGCTGGGGTGAGCGTGAATGACTGCATAGCCCCTTCCACTGTCCGCCTCCTTTCGGGGCCCACCTGACCCCGGCCCTTCCTGGCACATAATTGGCAAAGTTCCAGCCAGATGATCTTCGCTGCTCACCTTGGCTGTGTCATGCCCAGGCCCTTCCCTGGTCTGCTCCAGAGTGTTCCTCTGAAGGTGCAATTCCCACACGTGGGATCTCTGGGCAGAGCACAGAGACTTGCCTTCCTGCTCTGTGGGCATGCTTGCCATCCCACACACAGGCACCTTCAGCCCTGCAGGTCCCAGCAGGCTGCTTTCCACCAGCTGGCTCTCACAATGGTTTGAAGCTGCTTTTTTCCTCTATCTTATTTGCTGTTCCCTCCAGCTTCCTGTCAGTTGCTAATTCAATCCTTTCCCTCTTTGATCTAAATCACCGATAAAATGTCAAACCGCAGATTTGGCCCCCGTGTGAGGCCAGGCAGGGGTGTCAAACAGGCTCCAACTTTGGAGACTGCACTCCCTGGGACTATGACCTCAGTTTGTTCACTTATAAAAGTAGGACAACAAACTAAGTCGCTCATGAGGCTCAAGTGACACTCTGCCGCCCTCAGCCCATGGTGAATACTCACTGAACGCTAGAGAGATTGTGGCTAGGGTGGAGGAGGCCTCCCGTTAGGCCCTTTTGATTCTATCCAGCCCACATTTCTGGCTATCGAACTTTGGGGTGTGAGGACGGGCTTTGCAAAGCTTCGTTGGCATTGTGGACAATAAGTGTACAGATTCTGACTGAAGCCTTGGTCAAGGAAGCCATCAACGGTGGTACCAATGTTAAGCTTATTATTATTATTATTATTTTTAGTGACAGAGTGTCACTCTGTTGCTCAGGCTGGAGTGCAGTGGTTTCAATCATAACTCACTATAACCTCAAACTCCTGGTCTCAAGTGATCCTCCCACCTCAGCCTCCCGAGTACCTAGGAATACAGATGTGCCATCATACCTGCCTATTTTTTTTGCGTTTTTTTTTTTTTCTTTTTTTTGTAGAGAGGGTCTCACTAGGTTGCCCAAGCCGGTTTCTTACTCCTGGCTTCAACAGACCTGCCTTGGCCTCCAAAAGTGCTTGGATTATAGACATAAGCCACCATACCTGACCCAATGTTAAGTTTAAAGTTAGTTTTTTCCCTCCTGGCCTCACTCTTGCAACTTTTCTATCTGCCACTGGGGTCAGGATCCATCCTGGGGCTCCCACCCTTCCTGGAGAAGGAGAAAACACCCACGTCCTGGTAGTGTTCAGTTCTTCCAGGCCCATCAGAGCTGGCCGTGGTTGCAGGGCTGGCCTGGTGGTCCTCTGTGCTGGGCTCTGTTCTTAGTCCACACTTAAGTTCTCGTAGCACCCAGCACCTTGGAGGCTGTCATTGTCAGCTCCTTCTTAATTCCACTGATTGTACACTTTCCAGACTGAAGTCATTGCTTGGTCCAGACAGGAACAAAGAAAGCCATGGCTGCTTGCCAGGATCTCCTCTTCTCTGAGCTGCCAGGTTCAGAAGCTCCTCTGTGCCTGTGTGGTCACCAGCATCTACCACCAGTCTTCCTGCCCCTGTGCCTTCTATGCCAGTTTCTTCGTGCCATCTTTTGTGCATGTAAAATCCTGAAGTATTCCAAGAGCATTAGTGGCAGTGAACTGAATGCTTGCAGTAGCTTTTTCGTGGCTGTTGCTGACCCTTCCAACAGTTCCTTGAGGGTCCACCTCAACACAGCTTTAAGAAGAGGGCAGCTGAGGGCTGAGTCCCTGGCTGAATGAAGAAGGGTCAGGCCTGGCCCTGAGGCCACTCCTCAGAAATGCACCTGATACAACTAGCGTCTCCTGTAGATTCCTCAGCTTCCTCCTTGCTGGGGAGTTCTAGGTTATGCTGCCTTGGAGTGTCTTGCTATTGTCCTGGGCTATGCTACTCTTTGGCCCTGCCTGATACTCACTCCAGTTGCAGCTGAGCTGTTTGAAACCTGCTCTCCTAAGTTCTGGGGAAAATCTTAGGCCCTCCTCTATCTGATGCTGTCAGCAGGACAGGCCATTGATTATTTGAGGGTCCTATTGCTTCCTCCCTGCAGGCCATTCTTCACCGGCCTGCTCTGGGAGCCCTTGACCCTGGGAGGTGGAACTCTGCCCAGCTTTAGTGGTGGAATATGCAGGGGTAGTGTCTTCCTGAGTCTCCTTCCTCACCAGACGCTGTGAGGCCCCTGCCTGGGCTGCAGATTGGGGTTGGGGAGGGTGGCACGGGATCCCCAGGTCCCATCTCACTGGCTGTGCATCCCTGTACTGCACCCCAGGCCCATGTGCTTCGTGAAGCAGCTCGAGGTCCCTCCATATGGGAGCTACCGGCCCAACGTGGCCCCCGCCACACCCAGGGCCAACTTGGCCAAGGAGCTGGAGAAGTTCTCCAAGGTCACCTTTGACTACGCAAGTTTCGATGCTCAGGTTTTTGGCAAACGCATGCTTGCCCCAAAGATTCAGACCAGCGAAACCTCACCTAAAGCCTTTCAATGTAAGTTGGGGAGAATTGTTCTTGTTTCTCTTCTGTGTTGCTCCTGGGAGGGGCAGGATTCAAGGGGCAGTGGAGGAGGGACCCTCTCGAGGAGCTACTAGGGAGGGAAACTCTACCCTCATGGGAGGACCACGATGCAGGCTGGAGGTCTCAGCTGTCCCAGTGGGCACTGTGGTGGCTTTCTTGGGGCCTGCATCTCACTCCTGCTGCCACCTTCATGTTCACCATTAACATTTATGTGTCTCCTAGTTATTTGTGAAACAAAACCCAGATCCGTTACGGGCGTGTGTGTCCAAAGACTTCAGAGCAACCCCACCAGCATGGTTCACACTGGGAGACGCCACTCTCCCCACTGTCCTCCTGCTACCTGTTTAATCCCAGTGCAGCCGGCTGTCCATTTCCCAGCCCTGCCTCTGGGGAGGGTCAGACTGTGGGCTGGGTGGGGCCAGATGACTGCGGGGCTGGGCCCAGTGCCCTGGCAGGAAGCCATTGCTCTCCTGGTGGGGACCATCTTACTGGATACAATGTGTTATCTGTGACATTAGTAACAAATTTTCTGGGTAATTGTACTGACAAAAATCATTCCTACAAATCTTTAAGAACAATCCTTTCTGTCTTGTCTTGTCACTTACTGCCCTAATTTGTGGAATAAGCCCATTAGCCCTGGAAGTGCATGCGAAATGGAAAAGCATTCAGTGTACACATGAGATTGGGAGTGGCATCGCGGGGCAGATGTTGTCAGCCCCAAACATGACGTGACGAGTTTCCTACATGAGAATAATAAAAGTACTGATTGATGCGGCTGCCAGTGGGGTGTGAGCCTCTCTTCCTAACTTTGACAGAACCTGCTCTTTAGGATGGAGGACTTCCTGCCTCCAGGCACACATGCCTACTTGGATGAGGGAATGCAATGGTGCCAGTGGAGAGGGGGACCTCACGATAAGCTTTCCAATATATCTAGACCTTTCTGGATATACTGGTGACATCGTGATTGCTGAGAACATCGTGCATGAGAGTGATTTTGCAGCTACAGTACAATTGCTAGAAAAGATAACATTCTGTGCCTTCATTTGTCATGTTCATTTGAGCAATAATGTTACTTTTTTAAGGCAGTGATGGTTACCGGGGACACCAAGTCAGCCTAAATATGGGTACACCCTTTTGAGATCATGGGACAAAATTTTCCTATTTGGGCGATATGGCAAACACTCATCCTATTCACAGAATGCTTCAGTTTCTGATAGACAAGTTATTTTTGTTTGAAATATCAGGGCTGCTGGAATGTCTTGGAGGCTTTTACTCCTTTTGCCCAAATTTTCACTGAGCCAGAAACAAGATTGTCTCCTCAGTCCCCTAGAGGAGGGTGGGTGGGAGTGAGGTGTGTGAGGACTTGGGACTGGGACGGGTGGCCAAGCCCCTGGCCCACTTCGATATAGCTGTGCCCTGGGCCCTCCCATCCCTCCCAAAGTGCCCCCTCCCCACTGACTTGTCTGCATTGCTGCCTCTTTTCAAGTTGTATATCAGCCTGGTGTTGTTCCCTTTTTGCAGCCAAACCTTTCCCAAAGGCCTCTTCCCCCAGGCACAGCCCCTCCAGTAGTTATGTGAGGAGCACTTCATCCTCTTCTGCAGGCTTTGACTACTCGCAGGACGCCGAGGCTGCACACATGGCTGCCACTGCCATCCTGAACCTCTCCACGCGCTGCTGGGAGATGCCTGAGAACCTCAGCACGAAGCCACAGGACCTCCCCAGCAAGGTTAGTACATCTGCCACAGAGCCTTTCTTGGGAGAGGTGAGTTGGTGGAATTTGCAGTCAGGCCCACCTGCTCTCTGCACAAAATGTCCCTAGGAATGGCTTGTGCCTAGCTGGCAATTCTCATTCTTAACTTTTTCTCCCTCCTGGCCATGGCCCCAAGGACCGCAGAGCTTGGATGGGTCCACCAGGAGAACCTGGTGTGCTGAGTGAAGGGGGACCAAGGGCTGCGAACACAAGTTCCCACGTGTTAGGTTGTGTGCACACCATGCGCCCGCGTGTCTCCCTCTGAGCCTGAGGGTGGTGCACACACATGCCCATGTGTTTCCTTCTGACTCCAGGGCGGTGCACGTGCCCTGTTCACACGTGTTTCCCGCAGTCTTGTGGTTGCTGACACACTCTCCTTGCTCAGAGGACCTAGTCTTACCCGTGTTTATGACATGTCCTGAGGGACTGGTTTTTGTGCTGTTGGGAGGCAAGAGGAATTGTAGGGCCCCCTTCATGGGAAATCAGGAAATGGCAGCTGGATTTTTTCCCTCTCGCTGCCTGTCTGTCCCCGTTGTCCTGCTTCCTTCTATGGGAACCAGTGTTCTGGACTCTGTACGTTTGATTCAAATGGACCAGAAGGCACACATGGGAAGGGATGGAATCGCTAACAGATCTCACCTTTGCCATTGCAGTCTGTGGATATCGAGGTAGACGAAAATGGAACCCTGGACTTGAGCATGCACAAACACCGCAAACGAGAAAATGCTTTCCCCAGCAGCAGCAGCTGCAGCAGCAGCCCCGGTGTGAAGTCTCCCGACGCCTCCCAGCGCCACAGCAGCACCAGCGCCCCCAGCAGCTCCATGACCTCTCCCCAGTCCAGCCAGGCCTCCCGCCAGGACGAGTGGGACCGGCCCCTGGACTACACCAAGCCTAGCCGCCTGAGAGAGGAGGAACCTGAGGAGGTGGGTGCAGGCGCCTGGGCAAGCAGTCAGGCGGCTGCAGCCAGCTTGCCCTGCCTGAGGCTGTTGTGATATTGGCTTTTCAAGGAAGCTTCTCCTCACAGGCTTCTGGAAGAGCCTCGGGGAGCCATCCCTTTTCGTGAAGGGTCCTTCATCTTCTGAGCAGCTGGGACTCAGGGGCTCACCCTCTGGGTGGGATTTTCAGCAGCAGGGTCATGCTGTGCCCTTGTCTGTCAAGAAGGAGGTGGTCTTCTCACCCCTGTGGAGCATGGTGGCCAGCACCAACGTGGGCACTGTGGAGGCATGGGGAGGAGAAAGGCATCGTTCAGATCCCAGGAGTTGATTGGGGAAAAGCTCAGGTTTCTTGGGTTTTGAGCCTCCCACCACCCTGCAGAGCTAACCTGCTGTCCGGGTAGGGGCAGAGCCAGTGAGAGAGCTTAGGACCTGGGCTTAGGATCGCCCATGGTGGGCAGTTCTACGTCCCCGAGACCAGGACCAACCTGGCATGGGTGCTGGAACTGTGGTCTGGGAAGCAGGGGATCCTTCCCTTTTTAGTTCCTTAAAACATGTGAAAGAAGAATCCTCCGAGGCCACAGCCGGTTCTGGGCTTTTTCCCAAGGAGGTGTGTGTCCTGAAGAGCAAAGTCCAGCTGTGAGGGCAGCCCAGGGTCCAGGCGGCAGCAGCCGCGTGTGTGAGACTAGCAGGCCCCTCTCCCTCTCCTTCCCCTCCCCCAAAGCCCCTCAGGAGGTGGAAGGGGTCCCTGTGGAAGGAGCAGGGCCAGACCCTCAAGGAGGAATGAGGGGGGTGGGGCTAGGCCCCTATGAAGGGTGGGGGCTGGATCAGGCCCCTATGAAGGGTAGGGGCTGGATCAGGCCCCTATGAAGGGTGGGGGCTGGATCAGGCCCCTATGAAGGGTGGGGGCTGGATCAGGCCCCTATGAAGGGTGGGGGCTGGATCAGGCCCCCTCCACAATCCGGCCTCAGTGGGAGGCAGACTTCCTTACCGGCCCTCACACCACCCTCAGGTCACCCCATTTCATAGACGAGCAGCCTGGGAACCCACAACGAGGTCCAATTATCCGAAGACTGTTATTATGCTGGGCTGTGGGCTTCACGGGCATTTCCTCATTTGACCCCCAAAAACCTTTGAGGGGCTGCTGTTATCTCAAGTTGGACAGAGTGGCACCTGGGCCCCAAGAGCCTGAGCCACTTGCCTGGGACACATGCGAGTGCCTGTCAGGACAGGATTTTGAGCTCTGGTTACAGCATCCTGCAGAATGTTGGCCTTCTGACCCTTCCTGGACCCCTGGCCCCTCCGTGGGAGGGACTACGCCCTGCTTATCTGTGTCCACAGCTCTGAGCCTCCATACCCAGCATTCAGTTCGAAGCCTTTATCAAGCACCTGCTGTGGTCAAGGCATCGCACTGGTGGGCGTGTCGGGCCAGGTGGTTTCGAGGTTACTGCGATTGTTGTAATTTGTATGTTATTACCCTCGTTGTGCCATCTCATCTTCATGGCATTTCGGTAACACTTATTTAGTGCCTACTGTCTATTGAGTGCCATCCCTGGCTCTGAAGGGAACTGTATCCTGATGTTTACGCTGCGGAGTGATGTGGCGGAGGGAGGCCAGGGAGGGTGTCAGGAGCCTGCCACACTGGGCAGCACCAGGCCTCATTTCTAGGGCAACGCAGGACCTCTGGCTGAAGCAGGGGAGGGATCCAGCCCCTCAGGGGTGTTGTCTTCTGTGTTTTGCTGGGGGGAGTTAAGTCTTCCTCCCTTATCCAGAAGATAGGAGACTCCGGGAGATGCTTCTGTGGACACTGTCCTGAAGGGTCCCTCTCCCTCGCCCACTGGGTTGGGCGCCCAGGCCTCCCCGCCAGCCGGTTAAAACATCTTCCTGCTGGTTTTTTGCAGTCAGAGCCAGCAGCCCATTCTTTTGCTTCTTCTGAAGCAGATGACCAGGAAGTGTCGGAAGAGAATTTTGAGGAGCGGAAGTATCCGGGGGAAGTCACCCTGACCAACTTTAAGCTGAAGTTTCTCTCCAAGGACATAAAGAAGGAGCTGCTCACGTAAGTCCCTGTTTGGCTGGCACAGCTCCTAGGGGACCCTCTGTGGCCTGGGGAGGAACAGGCCCTGGTCCCAACCCATGACGACCGGGTCTGCTCAGGCTTTCCCCGACCTGTCCTGACCACCTCGAGCCAGGCAGCCTGTGACAGGAGCCAGGGTATTCAGAGGTTTCCCAACACCTTTGTGTTGTGCTGGGCTTTACTGCAATCTTCTAAAAGTGATTAAGAACAAAGAAATCCCCTGGCCAAGCTCACCAAGCAGGACAGAGCAGGGCAGGGGCAGAGTGGAGGAGAGCTCCTCAGAGAGCTCTGCAGGAAGCCCTCGGGGCACCCAGAGGCCTGGCCCTCTCCCTGAGGCCGCAGCTGGGCACGTTCTGCCCTGGGCTCCATGGCCAAGGCCTGGAATGTACTGCCTTAGGGCTCACCACCCTCAACTCTGTCAGCCTGGCTGGCCCAGAGGCTGCGTGTCTGAGCTGGTCCGCATGGGGTTGGAACAGACAGAGTTGCTGATGGATATGAATCAGATGTCAATGACCTTCTGGTCAGCCTTCATTGCCAGCCACCTGTCCTAGGGGACTGTGAGAGGCTGTGCCTGGCACCTGCTCCACAGGTGATCCAGCTCTCACATGTGCTCAGAGTACATTTCTGGGGTCCCTCTTCTCCCCAACCTGAACCCCTCTTGTACCCTCACACTTGTAGCTTGCCCTCCTGGGAGTGGCTGGATCCAGGGAAGGCCTTGCTTCAGGGCCTGGAGAAGGGAAGGAGCTCCTCTGCCTAAATATTCGTGGGCACATACACGTGCACACACAGCACATGTGCGTCAGAGGCATCCTAACTTTAAGCTCAACTTTAATTTGGTTACTTTTTCTTCTTGAGTTAAGTTGTGTGGGAGAAACTTCCAGCCTGAGAGGCACCGGCTGTCCTCCAAGGACTGAGTGGAGGAGGGGCCACCGCTTGGCTCGCGGGTGAGCCAGGAGTGGGCACCAGTCTCCCTCGCAGAGCAGGCTCAGCCTGGGGGGCAGGTACACACCACTCTCCGGTCTGACACTCTTTTTCCTTTGTCCAGCTGTCCCACCCCTGGCTGTGACGGCAGCGGCCACATCACCGGGAACTACGCCTCCCACCGCAGGTTTGTCTCCTGCTCGGGTCCGTCTGGCCTGGGTGCTTCGTGGTGGGTCTTCCTCCTCTCCTCCTCCTCTGCTCTCCCTCTTTGGCTTACCCCAATATCCCATCTCTTCTCTTTCAGCCTCTCTGGTTGCCCTCTTGCTGACAAGAGCCTCAGAAACCTCATGGCTGCCCACTCTGCTGACCTCAAGTATGTTTGCGCTCCCTGACCTCCTGTCTCTTGGGCGGCACCCTCGCTTTGCTCTCCTTCCATGAGGCTCCTGCCAAAATCAGCCTTCTCCAAGGTGCCAAGCCTCAGCTGGCCCCAGCTCTCCTGAGATGGGCAGAGGGGCAGGGCCGTGGAGGGGCCGATTCTGCTTGGCTGGGGCTGCTCTGCCTGTGTGCACCTGCTCTGAGCTCTGCTGTTTGCCTCTCCGCTGGGGGCTAGGGGTCGCTGCAGGCTCCTGCGCTGCTCTTGACCCATCCCCCACCCTCCAGCCTCTCCTGAAGATCCCCGACAGGGCTGTCTGGGCCTGCTTTCTTACTGCCCTAGAGATTTGGGAAAAGCCCAGAACCGACCAGGGAACGTAAGCCCTGCCGTGGCTCGGCAGGCCACAGGCTGTGCGGCTCTTGCTAAATGAACTGAACGCTGATAATGAAGAGAAAGCTCCTTCCCCTCCCCTCTCCTGTCACGCTCCAGCTGCTTCTGCCTTGGCCCTGATGCCCTCCCCCCATGCTCATGCCTTCTCTTTGCTGGGCTCACCCGTTTCTGCTTCTGTACCTCCCTGCCCCTACCTAACACATGGGCAGGGCAGGCCCTGCAGGCACCAGCTATAGCTTGCTGGACAGTCCTGCACAACCAGGCGCAAGCACCCAGAGGTTTCCAGGGGTCAGTGTCCTCCTGGGGCTGGAGTCAGGGACTGTTACTGCCTTTGGTTTTCATGCCTCCAGTTGTGCTGTGACTCCTCAGCCTGTGTGACCCTGAGCCATGGGGAGCTCCTCCTGGGCACCGGGGCCGAGCTGAGGCCTTGGAGGAAGGGGGTCCCATTCTTGTCTCCTCAGGTCACCTCTCTCCAGGGGTGTCCCTCCCTCCCATAGGCCTCTGTGTTGGGGGCCCTGAATCCAGGTCAACACACCCTGGCTTATTCCATTCTGGGGCCAGACAGGATCCTGGGCACTGGTGCCTCTAAGATGAGGAAATGAACTTGCTGAAGGCTTCTAGGGACCTTGGCTGGCTCAGACCTGGACAGAAAGCTCTAGGTCTCCCAGAGCCCCCACCAGCAGCCTTGTCTCTGTTCCCCTCTGGAGGCTGGTCTGGCCCCAGCAGCCAGGAGGAGTGTGTCATGAGGCCCTTCAGTTCCCACAGAGTGGGGTGCAGCATCTAAGTTTCCTTCCTGGAAGTTAATAGCTTCAACATAAGCATTTTCTGAGGCTGAGATCACCACAGCAGCTGCACACATTGACTTATTCATTCATTCTGCCGCCCACTTTGTCTAGTCCTAGAAACCCAGGAAACACTCAGTCCTGCAGCTTCTGGGACTGTCCTCTCTCCCTCTTTCCTTCTTCTCTTGCCATCTTTCTTGCATTCCTTTTTCCTTTTCCAATTCTGCTTTCTTTTCCGTGATTAGTCTCCATGGTTTTTCCCATTTGGGCCTGAATAATTTAAGAGGAGAAATGTGGCTGCAGGCACTCAGTGGCCCCAAATGTCACCATGTCCTTTCTGTCCTGTGAAGTGGATGCTTGGGCGGATGAAAGGAGCTTGGCACAGTTCGGGCCTGGAGACATGGCCGTCTGGGAGAGTTAGTGCTTTTTTAAGACTAAGAGCCTGTGAAGAACCTTAACGCCAAACTTCTTTAGAAATAACGACCAAAAGCCTCCCCTGTGTGAAAGTGAACCGCTCATCAGCATCAGCAGGGTTTGGGCAGGCAGCCACGGCCTCCAGGCTCCTTCAGAAACTCCACTCTCCCCCAGGGGCCTTTCCATGGGAGGCCACTTCCTTTCCTCCCTCCGACCACTGCATGAGCTTGGGACGATGGTGGTCTCCCCCCGCCACGTGTCCTGGTGTACCAACCTCCTTGCTCTCTGCCACCTCCTGTGTGAGGCGGCATCGGGCACTGGCCCCTCCTGATCAGCCTCGTGGCAGCCATGGGTGACGGTGGCCTTGGGACAAACGAGGTTCCTTTCATGACTTCCCTGTCCGCACCTGGCTGCAGCGACAGTCAGATGATGTGTGTTCTGTGTTTTAAGTGAATCCCAAGGGCGTTCACTCTTCCCTCCCATGTGTCTGATGTGGTCAAGGGCTGTGAGGACATGGCCGCCTCGGGCCACTCAGCTCATCTTGTGTTGGGAGTTGAGCTGCAACCACACACACCTGCCAGGGCATGACAGGCTTTGTGCAGGGTGAAGAATGCCTGTCCACAGCACGGGGATGGGGCTTAGAGAGGTGAGACCTGGTGTGTATTGCCAAGGTAGAGGGTGCCCCTCAGACACGGTGTTCCCTTCTGCCCAGATGGGGCACTCAGAAGCAGGTGGTGGGAGGGGTGGATGTGGCTCCAGATTCCTGCAGCTGACCCTGGGGGTCCACAGAGCCATGAGGGGCATGCAGAGGGGACACCTGCTCCTCTGACTATGTGAGTACTTTCCTCTCTGGGACACAACTCTTGAGAAAAGCCATTGAATCGGGCCTTAGTGAGGACTGCAGGATGGCCCCCCCTGTGTGTTAGGTACTGCCGGCCCCTTGGGAGTTATACCCCCACCTGAGACTCACTCACAGATGCCATCGGGAAGTATCTCCTCTGCTGTTGATGCCACTCACAGTCCAATGCTGTGCTTATCCCCGTTGAGGCCTAGAGCTGCTGTGGGTCTGTCACTCTGGCCACCTGAGTGGCCACTTGCCCACCGCACTGAACCTGAGCTCTACCTGATGCTTTGCTGCCACTGAGACAAGGAGCTGGAGCCCCAAGTGGCCACTTGAACAGCTGCCAACCCAGGAAGGAGAGGCAGGCCATCTTCAGTTCTCTTGGCTGGCCAGCAAGGTATCCAATGTGTGGCCCACAGGGCAAGGATGAAGGAATGTGAGGCTCCCCAGGAGGGCACCCCAAAAAAACTCCTAGGGGCCGAAGAGAAGGTTGCAAGAGGTGGGGCCAGCCCTGCTGTGCCGCCACAGCCCTTTGGGTGCCAGGCTGTGCCCGGCTTCATCTTCCTCCAAGCGAGGAGATGTCCTGTCCCAGTGGCCGGATGTCACATGTGCTGGTGGAAGACTCCGGTGAGGAAGGGCCAGCAGCATGGAAAGTGAGACGTCCTCCCTGGGGTCTGAGCACCACTGCAAAGTGCCTTTGAGCAGCAGGTGATCTGGACACAAGCACTGAACTCTTGCCTGGCTCCTGCAGGGTCAGGGGTCAGGAGGGGTGAGGCACAGAGAGCAGGCCTGACGGGGGATGGATCTACCCGCAGAATCAGGTCACCTCCTCCCACTCTCTAACATCAGCAGGAACTCACATATTTTTTCCTCAGTGGACATTCGGAAGAAAATAACATCCGTGCTTGTAATATTAAAGTGGAATTTTGTACCACCTTATGTGATACATTCGTCAAATAGTTTTGGGTGTGTAAAGTTGGACTTTTGTGTTTCTCCTCCTTACTCTCTGCTGTAAGCCACTGGCTGTGTGAACTCTGCAGTCATGCTATACAACAGCCAGGCCTGGCATGGCCAGCGCCATCTGCTCTGCAGCAGGTGTGCAAAAAGGCCTCTGTTCATTTACCAGCCCATGGTGGCCACGCTTTGTGAGGGCAAGCTCCCAGCCCATCCAAGAAGATGAACTGGTCTTAGGCTGTGCTTCAAGTTATGGCTCAGATATGCTCTGAATGCCTTTAGTCCAGACCGGACCCTACAGAAGTCCAAGCTGGGAGCCCTTCGTGTCCTTGGCTGCAGTGGACCCTGTAGGCCTGTCCCAGTGCCCAGGTTTGGTGTCTGGGTGTAAACCGATGCTGGAGCAGCAGTTGGCTGCTCTCCTCTCAGACTTCCTGGTCTCCCTCGGGGAGACGGGGGAGCAAAGCACTGAACCCCTGAGATGATCGCATCAGACCCCTGTTGCTGGCAGTCGGCAGCCGGGGTGAACATCGGCGATGCTCCTCTGCGGACAAGGGAATGTGGGTGGGCGCACTCAAGGGCTGAGCCCAGAAGGCTTTCCTCTGGGGGTCCCAGGGCTCTGGGCCGGGGCTAAACGCCTTCACGGGCTCCCGTTCCAGTTCTGCTTCCCTCTGCAGGTGCCCCACGCCCGGCTGTGACGGCTCTGGCCACATCACAGGGAACTACGCTTCACACCGGAGGTGAGCCTGCCACACCCTCAGGTCCTGGGCCCCAGGGGTGGGCAGGGAGTCTCTTCCTTATATGAAGATTAGAAGACACTAATGTTGCTGACAGCTAGAGTCCATTCCCATCTCTTTAATCTGAATTGTTGCCATTTCCAGAACCTGATTAAGTTGTCCTCTGCAGTAAGATAAAAAGACAAGGGGTCAGGGCTAGGGGCTCGTGGTAATGCTTCTCCTTCCCGACCCTGCTGCCTCGTGTGAAGGCTGTGTCTGTGGATTCTGCTTCTTACAACTGACCCATCGGTTGCCCTCACTCCCTCCCACCCCACCCTGGGGTCACAGAGCTTGAGGGGAGAGGGTGAGATGAACGGGTGTGAGAAGCTGCGGTTCCAGCACTAAGGTGGCCTTTTTTCCTCTTTCGAAATCAGCTTGTCCGGCTGCCCTCGTGCAAAGAAAAGTGGAGTCAAGGTGGCACCCACCAAGGACGACAAGGAGGACCCCGAGCTGATGAAGTACGTTGGGCCATGCTGGCTCTTTCATTGCATTGCGGAATTGAGATTTTCGTGTGTTTTATAATGTAAAAAAACTCCTACTAGATTCCCTTTTCATTAATACAACGGGTCACCTAACTGACCAACGCCAACTTTCGTTTCTTTCATTTTTATGGAAGCTCTCATACGCTACACGTTGATACCTGTGAAGATAGGAGCCCTGGATGTCGCGTGGAGGGCATGGGTGCCAGATTTTCTGGGCTTTTCAGGTCTGGAGTATTTGACGGGGCTGGGAGAGGCAGAGCACCCTTCTACCTATGTCTTAGGGCCACCTGGGAGTGGGCCCCAGGGCCTTGCAACCTGCAGAATTTGTCTGGCAGGAAAGGTGAGATGCAGGAGTCAAGGAGGAGAAGGTGGTTAGAACAATGTTGAAGCTCCAAATCCCATGTGTCCATCCACCCACACACCTGTGCAGAGAGCTGGTAGATTGAGAGAGCCAGGAGGATCTAAACTGGGAGCCAGACACTGTTGGGTGAAGGAAAGAGGACATCTTGGGCCTTAAGTGACCCAAGTCCTTGAGGAGAAAAGATTCTCCTCTATTGCTCTTCTCACTGGGGCAGGGTGGGGGCTCGTGTGTCTTTGTGGGGCTTATAGGTGAACCCTGACTCTGTGTGTTATCCTACTTGGTGGGGGTTTGTGTCCTTACAAGCTTATTCTCCCAATAGGGAACGGGTCCCCTGCACTGCCCACTTTTAGGTGGGGGGAATGCTTTGCTACAGACTCAGACCAGGTGACCCACTGGCCATTTTGCCCAGGACCGAGGTACTTTCAGAGCTGACATCTGGCAAAATGGGCAGTGGGTTCCCCAGCAGGTGAGCAGAGTGGAAATGATGGCTCTGGACACCTTGTTGCCCAGGGTTAGGGGCCGGCTCGGTCGGGACGGGGCCCTACTATGCCCGCAGGAAGCAGGTTGCCCTCGTTGTGTTACCTGCTGGGCCAAGAGCAGCCAGACCTCACGCCCGGGGAGGGGCAACTTGGCCTGAGATTGGGTTGCTCCTCCTGGTAGTTTGCTCCAGCTGTGCCCAAACACCCGGCCACACTGGAGGAGCCTAATTGACCAACATCACATCCTTCAGACGGGGATGGGCCCACCAGCTGTTTGGTGTAATAGGCTGTGGCTTGTTTATTTATTTAATTTTTACAATAAAACTGTAATGAATGCTAAATTAACAATGCAAAATTTTGGTTGTTAGTACTATGAAGGTCGCACACTAAATGCTGAGGTGGATAAAAAGCATTTTGCCCCTGAGAATCCAGGAATTTGCCTATGATCATATAAGTGCAACACCTTTATGGATTTGGCAAGGATCCTGCTGGCAGGGATATTATAAGTGAATCGTGCTGCATTTGCAAATGATTAAAATCAAGATCAGCATTTTTCAAATTAACCAGGAAAAATGGTTTTCCTTTCTAATGTGCTGTCAACTGAGCTTTAAAAAAAAACAAGAGTTCTGCAGCCGAGTGGAGACTGTGACTTTCAGAAACACTTCAGCATTTGCAGGATAGAGGAAGGTCCTAGAGGCTCCATGGCAGAGGGAACCTGACTACTGAACCCTCCGTTTTACAGGGTTCCTTCCCAGCCATAAACTTTAACTGCACTTGTAATTGCCTAGCATATTTAAACAGATGCATATCAAAGCAGAAACTGGAATGGATGTGTCAGGTCATGCTGAGGGATGGGATTTCGTCAGCATGCATGAGCTGTGATTTGGGGAGCCTGGTGGAACAGGAGTCCTTTTTATGATATCTCCTGCCTGCGCTATTTAAAATTAAGTCACATCAGGCGCTTGGTGGTAAATCCCTTTGCCACAGCTTTATAACTGGTCATAAAAGTCTTGCGGAGGTTCCAGCATGGGAGTCAAGAGGTGAATGCTCCCCTTGCCCTGCCCACTGTCCCTGGAGGGGACTTCTGGTCCTGGCCATGTTTCTCATGTCACTGGCACACACGGCTTCTGCCCCCCAACACGTGATAGGAAACACTAGCTCACCCAAGAAGCACAGAGGCCTCACCAGCTCAGTGCCTGCCCCCACCGCCCCAGCACCTCTCAACATGATGTCCCTGACAGCTTGAAAGTCTCCACACCAGGTTTTGTGAGAAAGAGAACATACCTGAAATCTGAAATCCTCTCCATGTATGCGATTCAAGGGAACAAAAACAGTTTCCCTTGATGAAGGGGAGTAGTGTTTTGCAAGAAAGGGAGTGAAAATAACTCAGATTTGGGCCGGGCACTGTGGCTCATGCCTGTAATCCCAGCACTTTAGGAGGCTGAGGCGGGTGGATCACCTGAGGTCAGGAGTTCGAGACCAGCCCGGCCAACATGGTGAAACCTCATCTCTACTAAAAATACAAAAATCAGCCGGGCGTGGTGGCGGGCGCCTGTAATCCCAGCTACTCGGGAGGCTGAGGCAGGAGAATCGCTTGAAGCCGGGAGGCGGAGGTTGCAGTGAGCCAAGATTGTGCCACTGCACTCCGGCCTGGGCAACAAGAGCGAGACTCCATCTCAAAAATACTACTACTACTACTAATAATAATTCAGATTCGACTGTGTAGAGTAGCTGAAGAGCCAGCCACCCCCCATTTGGCCACAGAGCCTCTTCCCAGCCAGTCTGTGCCTGGTGCAGGTGTCCCCCAGGGTCCCATGGCTGGGCCATCCCCATCAGAGGGGGGCTGGACATTGAATGTGAACTTCCCAAAGCTCCCATAGGGGCCCCTGGCAGTGTCTCTGCTCTGGACGGGGATGAGGTGACCTCGGACTGGCTCAGGGAATGTCCTAAAAGTTTCTGAGGGCCAGGTGGGTGGGATGAGTAACAAAGGGAAAAGAACCAAGAGAGGGGCCTGTGGAGAGAGAGAAAGCAGGGTCCTGGCCGAGTTGGCTGGGAAGGGTCTGAAACGGCAGCTTCAGAGACGAGGCCAGAGTGTGGGGGCAAGGAGCCGGACGCTGCCCTCCCTGTCCAGGCCTTGTTGACCTTCCACTGGGCAGCGCAGCCCTGAGCCGCCTCTCACCCCTACGGCGGGAGCCTCTGCCCCCGCCCCCGCCCCCTGCTACCGTCCTCCCGAGCGCTTCCTGCGCTGACAGTGACTTCCCTGTATGCCCATGAATCTCCTCGTAAATGGAGCCATGGTGACCTCTCGGGGTCTTGTGTTGCCAGGTAATCAGCACACAGGGAGTGTGTGACAAACGGTAATTTGGATGAGTTTCATTTATGAAGAGATAAGAATGAGCCTTGCAGATTGAAGATCTTGTCCTGGGTTTGGCGTGGGTTCCTGGATGACGTGGTCCCTCAGCTCCCCAAGTCCTGGTCCAGGTCCTTCCCTGAGGCAGTGGGGACAGACACTCAGAGAGGTCATGGGCCTGGGCCCTCTGCGCTGTCCTGTTTGTCTCTGACCCACACTGAGCCCAAGGCATTTGCCAATCTGAATTTATGTTATTTTCATAAGGGCCTCTATCCCTCTCCTGGAACACCCAGAACGAAGGAAAGGAAAACACCATTTAAGGCCAGCCTCAGGCACGAGTGATTATGGGTAGCGAGTCTCCCCCACATGAGGTCTGCGTTCTTCCTTCTAGAACATAGATCTCAGTGGTGGCAAAGCTGCAACATCTATGGGCATTGCCCCCTGATTGCACTGGCCTCAGTCTGGGAGGCTGTGGGGTGACAGGCCTCTGCTGTCCCTGAGCTCCCCTGCTTAGGGGACCTTGTCATTCTTTTGTGATCCATAGGCCCCCAGGCCTATGCTTGATGCAAGCTCCCAGGGAGTGGCCTCTAGGTGGTCTCAGCTGACAACATGGCTCCACATTGCTGAGTGACACACAAGTGACTCCAGCAGCAAGGCTTGGAGGGAACCTGAGAGCAGCCCCCAGGCCCAGGGTCACGGCTGCTGGAGGGCACGGAAAGAAGGTGGCTGTGGAGACCCCAGTCATGCAGGGGCTGTGAGGCCAAAGCGGAAGAGGGAGCGTGGCCCGGGTCTTCACACTCAGCCCGGAAGGGCCAGTTCTTCCCTGAGGCTCCAGGACCTCAGCGGCCCTCCCTGCCTCACTCAGAAGCCCTTTAACGGCTCTGAGTTGGGCTCCCCTTGTGTCTGGCTTGAGAGAGTCTCCAGGCTTCTCCTCCCAACCCTTCGCCCCTGTACTCACCCCGGCCTCTCTGTACCCAGGTGCCCAGTTCCAGGCTGTGTGGGGCTCGGTCACATCAGCGGGAAATACGCCTCTCACAGGAGCGCATCCGGCTGCCCACTGGCCGCCCGCAGGCAGAAGGAAGGGTCCCTCAATGGCTCGTCATTCTCCTGGAAGTCCCTGAAGAATGAAGGACCGACCTGCCCCACCCCGGGCTGTGACGGCTCTGGCCACGCCAATGGGAGTTTCCTCACCCACCGGAGGTAACTGTGCCTGCAGGTCCTGCCCCTCTGTGCAGTCAGTAGGGACCCTCGCCTGGGGCCTGGGGCTGAAGCTCCTGAGGGAGGGCCAGACCAGGGCTCCGTGTGACCAGAGTTGCTCAAGGGAAAGGCCAGGCCACATGGGTAGCGGATGGGGGAGGCTAGCGGGTCTGTTGGTGCCAGGTGATGCTGTGGGTTATGTCTTCGCCATGCGTCTCCCCTCATACGCCACCCTTCCACATCCTGATGGAGTCCTTCCTGGCTGGGTGTTATGCTGGACACAGAGGCCACACATGAGCAGAGCCCTGGGTCTGACACTTACGTTCTCTTAACAGGCTGACAACTTCTCAGGAAAAGTTTGTCTCCTACACCTTATGCCCTGTCCCTCCCATTCATACCTTCTCAGGAAAAGTTTGTCTCCTACACCTTATGCCCTGTCCGTCCCATTCATGCCTCTTCTTTGAACTCTGGGCAGAGACCCCTGCCTGCCTTGCAAGGGAGCTGGTAACCCCTCTCTGTCAGGCAGTGGGCCTGGGCAGCATTCACCAACTCTCGCCTGCCCTCCAACACCTGCTCCAGAGCCGAAGGACCTTGCTTCACCAGCCCCACTTCCTGTCTGTGTCCTATGGTGACAATGAGTGCCTGGTCCCATCAGAAACCCTGTGTCTGGGCCTAGGGCCAATGCTGACTCTTCATTCCCTCCCCTGTCCCTCCCCTCCCCTTCTTCCCTCCTCCTTCCCCTCCCTTCTCCCTCCTTTCCTCTTCTCCCTCCCTTCCTCCTTCCCTTTCCCTCCCCTCTCCCCTTTCCTCCCCTCTCCCTTCCCCTATCCCTCCCCCTTTCCTTCTTTCCCCTCCCTTCCCCTTCCCCTCCCCTCTCCTTCCTTCCTCTCCCCTCTCCCTTCCCTTTTGCCTCCTCTCCCCTCCCCTTCCCCTCCCCTCCCCTTCCCCTCCCCTCTCCTACCCCTCCCCTCCCTTCCCTCTGCCCACCCCCCACCTCCCCCACTCCCTCCCCACCCCCTCTCCTCCCCTTCTTCCTCTCCCCTCCCCTCCCCCCTCACCTTCCCCTTCCCTTCCCCCACCTTCCTCCCCTTCTCTTCTTTTTCTTCCCCTCCCCTCCCTTTTCCCTTCCTTCCTCCATCTACAAGATTAATTAACTCACTCATTCAACAAAAGCATTTGCACCATGTACCAAGCCTTGGAGAGAGAGCAGAGAAAAAAAGGACAACTACCCCTTATCCTTGTAGAGTGCATTTTGGGCAGAGTAGGTGGGACAGCCTGTAAACAAATAAATACGTAAATTACTTAGTATGGTGAATGGTGGTGCGTGTGCTGGGCAAAAAAGAAGCAGGGAAGAGGACAAGGAAGTCCTCTTTGAGAAGGAAGTAGCAGCTTGGCCTGAGGTGTCTGGGGCACAAGCCCTCAGCGAAGTGGCTGGAGCTGGGAACAGCCTGGCCCGCTGGACAAGGTTGGAGGTGCTGAGGGCCTGGAGCCAGGGAGAGGGAGCAAAAGAGATGAGGTAGAAAGTTCTAAGCCAGGGCTTATCTGGCTGCCCGCTGGCAAGGACTCAGCTTTCACTGTGAGTGAGGGCCCTGGCAGAAGGCAGAGGAGAGACTAGATCTGGCATGGGCAGCTGGCATGGACACAGCTGCAGAAGCCGGGAAGGCCACTAAAGGAGACTACTGCAGCCGGGGTCAGTTGGGCAGAGACTTATGCTGGGCTTCCTAAGGACATCTTACCTTGCCTCAATCAACCTTTACTTATGGTGTGGATACAATCACTTCATAAATGAAATCATGCTTGAGAATGCACAATTGTAATGCATTTTTCTGCTTGAGTGTCTATATCCGAGGAGTGATCTGTGACTGTCATTATCACCACAGCCTAGAGGGTATCTCAGAGGCAGACGCAGCTAGGATGGGCTCCTCTGGGAGGTCAGGGCTGCAAAGTACCGGCAAGTGGGTCATGTGGACCTCAGACCCCAGAGGGAGCCCTGCTGAGAGCAACGGTGCCCTGGCCCCCCGAGTATCAGGCAGGGTCAGCTATGGCTGTGCCAGATGAGGTGAGCTCTGGAGTGTCCCCTTCCCAGCCTCTGCCCTGCCTAGATGTAGCTTCTTTTTCCCCATAGAACACAGTTTGGCCATAGGGAGGCCCTCCAGGTCATCTAGGTGAGGTGGAACATGCCTTCTGTTAACCCGTAATGTGTGACCCTGGGCTGGCCGTGGTGGGTGACCCTGGGCTGGCCGTGGTGGGTGACCCTGGGCTGGCCGTGGTGGGTGACCCTGGGCTGGCTGTGGTATGTGACCCTGGGCTGGCCGTGGTGGGTGACCCTGAGCTGGCTGAGTGACCCTGGGCTGGCCGTGGTATGTGACCCGGGGCTGGCCGTGGTATGTGACCCTGGGATGGTCATGGTGTGTGACCCGGGGCTGGCCATGGTGGGTGACCCCGAGCTGGCTGTGGTGGGTGACCCTGGGCTGGCCGTGGTGGGTGACCCTGGGATGGCCGTGGTGGGTGACACTGGGCTGGTGGTGGTGGGTGACCCTTGGCTGGCCATGGTGGGTGACCCTGGGATGGCTGTGGTGGGTGACCCTGGGATGGCTGTGGTGGGTGACACTGGGCTGGCTGTGGTGGGTGACCCTGGGATGGTCATGGTGGGTGACCCTGGGCTGGCCATGGTGGTTGATGCTGGGATGGTCATGGTGGGTGACCCTGGGATGGCCGTGGTGGGTGACCCTGGGATGGTCATGATGGGTGACCCTGGGCTGGCTGAGTGACCCTGGGCTGGCCGTGGTATGTGACCCGGGGCTGGCCGTGGTATGTGACCCCGGGATGGTCATGGTGTGTGACCCGGGGCTGGCCGTGGTATGTGACCCCGGGATGGTCATGGTGTGTGACCCGGGGCTGGCCATGGTGGGTGACCCCGAGCTGGCTGTGGTGGGTGACCCTGGGCTGGCCGTGGTGGGTGACCCTGGGATGGCCGTTGTGGGTGACACTGGGCTGGTGGTGGTGGGTGACCCTTGGCTGGCCATGGTGGGTGATGCTGGGATGGTCATGGTGGGTGACCCTGGGATGGCCGCGGTGGGTGACCCTGGAATGGTCATGATGGGTGACCCTGGGCTGGCTGAGTGACCCTGGGCTGGCCATGGTATGTGACCCGGGGCTGGCCGTGGTATGTGACCCCGGGATGGTCATGGTGTGTGACCCGGGGCTGGCCATGGTGGGTGACCCCGAGCTGGCTGTGGTGGGTGACCCTGGGCTGGCCGTGGTGGGTGACCCTGGGATGGCCGTGGTGGGTGACACTGGGCTGGTGGTGGTGGGTGACCCTTGGCTGGCCGTGGTGGGTGACCCTTGGCTGGCTGTGGTGGGTGACCCTTGGATGGCTGTGGTGGGTGACCCTGGGATGGCTGTGGTGGGTGACACTGGGCTGGCTGTGGTGGGTGACACTGGGCTGGCTGTGGTGGGTGACCCTGGGCTGGCCGTGGTGGGTGACGCTGGGATGGTCATGGTGGGTGACCCTGGGATGGCCGCGGTGGGTGACCCTGGGCTGGCCGCGGTGGGTGACCCTGGGCTGGACGTGGTGGGTGACCCTGGGATGGCCGCGGTGGGTGACCCTGGGCTGGCCGCGGTGGGTGACCCTGGGCTGGCCGCGGTGGGTGACCCTGGGATGGTCGCGGTGGGTGACCCTGGGCTGGCCGTGGTGGGTGACCCTGGGATGGCCGTGGTGGGTGACCCTGGGCTGGCTGTGGTGGGTGACCCTGGGATGGTCGCGGTGGGTGACCCTGGGCTGGCCGTGGTGGGTGACCCTGGGATGGCCGTGGTGGGTGACCCTGGGCTGGCTGTGGTGGGTGACCCTGGGATGGCTGTGGTGGGTGACCCTGGGATGGCGGTGGTGGGTGACCCGGGGCTGGCCGCGGTGGGTGACCCTGGGATGGCCGCGGTGGGTGACCCTGGGCTGGCCGCGGTGGGTGACCCTGGGATGGCCGCGGTGGGTGACCCTGGGATGGCCGTGGTGGGTGACCCTGGGCTGGCCGTGGTGGGTGACCCTGGGATGGTCGTGGTGGGTGACCCGGGGCTGGCCGTGGTATGTGACCCTGGGCTGGCCGTGGTATGTGACCCTGGGATGGTCGTGGTGGGTGACCCTGGGCTGGTGAATGATATGTGGCCTCTGCTTCCAGTTTGTCAGGCTGTCCCAGAGCAACCTTTGCTGGAAAGAAGGGAAAACTGTCAGGGGATGAGGTCCTCAGTCCAAAGTTCAAGACTAGCGACGGTAAGGATGGCTTCCTGGATTTCCCTGCTCATGGCTGGGTGCCAGGGTAAGTGAGAGCTGTGCACCTTTTGTGCTGGTGGGAAGAAGGTTAGGGAGATGAAGCCCCTCCTGGAATGAGTCACGGCAGAGGCAGATCCCTTCACCTAAGCTGACAGCCTTTCGGACCTTGGCTCTGAAGCTCTTGACACCTGTGTCTGGGGTCCCTGGCCCTGAGGAGGTCATGCCTGCTGTAACCTGCGGCTTTGGTGACCACTGGGATCAGAGTCCAGTGGAGCCCATGTGCTGTGAGTTTGTGGAGAGGTGTGGCTCATTCCCCCTTAGGTGAGGAAATTCAGCATTGCCTGAACAAACTTCCATCTTTAATGTAGCATTTAATACCTCCCAAAGAGATTTAAGCCTTTCCACCTGCCAGCCAGCTCGGAAGGCAAACTATAAACACTCATCTCACAATTTTCAAGACAGATTTCTCCAGCGCATAATGTGGGGTATGAGCCCCAGAGAGAGATGAGCTCGGAAAACCAGGAGGGGAGACCTCTGCTGCACAGGGGGTTTCAGTTCTAGAAAGCAGGCTTCCCCACAGCACTTTGGCCCAGGCCTGCCTGAGGCCCAAAGCCACAACTGAGGTTTCTCTCTGGGTCAGTGTTGGAGAATGATGAGGAGATCAAGCAGCTGAACCAGGAGATCCGAGACCTGAACGAGTCCAACTCGGAGATGGAGGCTGCCATGGTGCAGCTGCAGTCCCAGGTAGGTGGTGCCGCCCCCCGCTCCTGGGCTCTTTGCCCACCCAACCCAAACATTCGTCTTGGGGACAGTGAGGCATCCGTCGGCACTCATCAAGGTTGCTGTCAGGGCTGAGCTGACGGACAGCGCAGTGGCTGGCACACAGGCACACTTAGGACGTGCTGGCCGCTCACAATGCGGAGTCCGTGAAGTCACACTGTGAGTGCCAGTGGGCCGCCGGAGCTGGTTGTCCCGCCAGGGCTGTGGTCTCATTAGTGTTAATAACACTATTAATAATACTAGTCCCATTAAGATTAGCAGCACTGTTTCTCTTACTCTCATTAGAATGAGTAGTCCTGTCAAGACCAGCGGTCCCATTAGGATTACCAGTCTTGTGAGTACCAGTGGTCCATGAGCGTGGTGCGGTAGAGCCAGGTCTCTGGAGCCGGGTTTCCTTCCCAGCACCCAGCACAGCCACATGTTTGTCACAGCTGAGGGACCTGACAAACCTTTCAGCCTCTTCCTCAGTCAATTCCTCCATAAAATGGAGGTAAGAATAGGATTCTACTCCAGCCAGTTATTGTACAATGAACGCATTTCTATGAGGAAAACATTCAGCATAAGCACCTGATCCAGAGTAAGTGCCGTCGATGAGAGCTGCTGTTGCTGAGGGTTAGGATTACAAATTATTTTAAATGTTTGTGTCATATTTCCTGATTTCCCTAAAATGAGCATTTGTAATCAGAAAAAAAAAAGCAGTAAAGATCTTATTTTGAAAATAAGAGCATGCCCCACCTGTGGCTGCTGAGTGGAGTCTGCAGCCGTGCTGGGGGAGACATAACTGTGCCCCTAACAGCTAGAGGGACAAAGGGACAAGGAAGTGACCAGGTCCCACAGAGAATTTGGGCAGAGCCCCTCTGGGCAGGGACAGATGGGGAGATGGTGGCCTCCACCAAGGCAGCAAAAAATGAGTAACATCCTCCAGCCCCACGTGTCTCATTACTCTGCTCTTGTCTCTACTGGCAAACAGGCTCATGTTGACTCTGCTCTGGTCTCTACTGGCAAACAGGCTCATGTTGACTCTGCTCTGGTCTCTACTGGCAAACAGGCTCACGTTGACCGCTTGTTACTCAAGAGCCTGTATAAAAATAGCATCACCCCACAGGGATCAGGAAGGATTTTCGCTGTCATGCACATGTCGATGTTGCATCCCCCCAGGTTCATAGGCAGTGACGACAGAGAAGGAGTGATGGCCCTCCCGGCGGAGCCATCCCCGTCCCCTCCTGGTGTCTCTGAGTGTGGAGATGCACTGTTGTGTGGGTGTCCATTTTGTGCTCCCTGCTCCTCCCCTTCTCAGAGTCCCCAGGGCCTTCATCAGTGTCAGTGTCGTTGGGGTAGCACCTCTGATTTCTTTTTATTTGCCAAAACCAATCTTTTTAAAGACAGATTATTACCTTTTACTAGCATCCCTTTGGAAGGACTCAGAAACCCCTGTCCATCTGAGGGAGTTTGGTGACTGGTGCCCTCTGCGGAAGGGCAAAGGCAAAGGGAAGGCAGGTCCCTATCCCCCATGCAACCCTTTCAAAGCCACATGCTTGTCACCAGGTGGCAGAAGAAGCGTGCTTGACCCCATCCACAGCCTCCCAGGAATGAGCTCCCCACTCCTGCCTCGTGTGTCACCCACACTGTCTTTCTGTGAGTTTAGCCTCTGCCCCCGTGGCTCCCTGCAGATGTGCAGTCAGGCTGGGGGCTATTCCTGGACACCAAAGGCCTCAGGGCCAACACAACCCTGGGCAGGTTCACCGCCATGGTGGGGAAGTGAGAAGACTTGCCTGTAGTTGGCCTGGGGAAGTCGTGCTTGGGAGGCCCTGAGGAGGCTCTTTGTGGGGATTTCTGGTGAGGGGAAGACCCAAAGGCAGTCTGACACTCCACGGGGGGGTGCAGTGATTTCCATCTTACAGATAGAAGCAGGAAACATGGTGAAGCTAAGACCACAGCAGGTGGAGTCTGAGATTGAGACAGGGCGCTGTGAAGTCTGTGCTCCCACCCCATCCCCTCAGGACAGAGGGGCTCAGAAAACCAGGAGTGGGGACTTCTCCTGCACGGCGGGTTTCAGTTCCATCTAGAAAGCATGGCACAGAGGGACGTGCCACACGAGCCCCCTTCCTGGCTTCCCTGGAGTCAGCCCATGTCTCCAGAGGGCCCTTGCCTTTCTCTCCTCTGCCAGCCCCTCACCTGTGGCAGAACCCCCTACAGGAAGGCAGGGTCCCTGCCTCTTCCCCCACCCCAGGGTTCTGCATTCTCCCAGAGGGTTGTGAGAGGCAGCCCAGAGAGGACCCCCAGGAGGATGGGGGCCAAGGGCAGGCGGCACTTCGAATCTCTCTCTGGCACAGATCTCCTCCATGGAGAAGAACCTGAAGAACATCGAGGAGGAGAACAAGCTCATTGAGGAGCAGAATGAAGCCCTGTTTCTGGAGCTGTCCGGCCTGAGCCAGGCCCTCATCCAAAGTCTCGCCAATATCCGCCTTCCGCACATGGTAGGCAGCACGCGGGCCTGCCGGCACCACAGCTACCCCCCAGGGTCTCTTCGGAAAGCAGGAGGGCAGGGCATCTCCCACCCCCTCTGCCTCTGGGTCCTGCCCTAGGGGCCCTGTGCCCTTGTGGAGATTCTCTCCACCCCGAATGGCCCGGGCTGTTGGCTGTGGTGGGTTTAGCCACCATAATGAGTAGCTGCCATAAAGAGTAGCTAATGAATCCAAAGCAAAATGGTGATTCCATGAGCAGAGAGGCTACTGCTGGGATGGCTGCAGAGAGGAACGCCCAGTGCTGCCTCTGGTTGGTGTGGGCTTGTCTCAGGTCACGTGGGGACATAGGTTTGATGCTCCCACATCAGGCTCTGCGGTGTGGGGCCCACTGCATGGACGGAGCTTGCTAACCTGGTTCTGTTCTCTAGGAGCCAATATGCGAACAGAATTTCGATGCCTATGTGAGCACCCTCACCGACATGTACTCCAACCAGGACCCGGAGAACAAGGACCTCCTGGAGAGCATCAAGCAGGCTGTGAGGGGCATCCAGGTCTAGGCCGTGTGGTACCCAGAAGTGTCCCAGCCCACCACACCGTTTACCTCCCTCGCCCTGCCCCGCACCGTGGGGATGCCCAACTCACAGTGACTTCCCGTTTGGGGCCCGGTGTGGCCGCGGGCGGGTTTATCCAAAGGGATGGCTGGAAATTGGCCGCTCCCACGAGGCTCCCTCCAGGCTTGGGGCCGTGGTGGCCCTATCTGTGTGCATAGGGGCACTGAAGAATTACAAAGTGATTTATTTTTGTTTTCTGAAAGAAATCTGAAGAGCAGCTCAAAGTCTCCAGTGGAAGCTCATGGACAAGGTTCTCAGGGAAGTTTTGGAGTTTGCAACCACAGTATTCCTTTGTCTGTCGAGGCTGGGAGGGTAGCCGTGAGCGTGGTGGGTGGGTGGTGTGAGTGGCATCTTGGCCTGGAGGACACGCCTGGGGCAGCGTGTCTGTGCTCAGTGAGGGCCGATGAAGAAAGTGCGTTTTCTGTTTTCATTTAATTCAGTTTTGTGTTAAGGGTGGAACAAAGCTCTGTTCTAGAGGGAAAGTTAGGAATAGGCCTCCCAGAGGATACTCCAGACAGTTGACAAGCATCGCAGCCCCTGTCAGGTCAAGGAATTTTAACCTGGGAGACTCCTGAAAATCAGCCTAATGTCTGGGGGCAGCTGGCGCTGAGGCTGTGCAGATGTGTATGGCCTTGGGTCACAGCTCCCTACTGGGGCTGCAGCCTTTAGACCCTGGGTCTGGGATCCACGTCTAGGGACCACTCTGGCTTCTGTGCATCCACCCAGGCCCCCGACCCATCACTGCCACATTCTCCGGGTCATGGCCGAGCTTGACCTCTGCATCCATGGTGACGGAGGTGGCAATGACATCATCAAGGTCAGAGGGTAAATTCCTAACAGGAGACCACAAAGGTTTCACTTCTTTTAGATCCATCCAATATGCGAAAAAAGGGTACATTTTAATTTAATGTGTTAAAAACACAATGTCCCTACCGTGTAAATAGAATCCAAGTCAATTGTGACTGCAATTCCAAGTTAGTATTTAAAAATAGAGAAATTGCACTTCCTGGAAAAAATTAAAAAGTAGTTAGTTTAATTATTCTGTAAATTATTTAATTTTGTCAAGATGTAAGTATTTATATTCACAGCCTCTTATGTTAACGTTTGCTATTTATTTAACATTTTTATTTATTAATTTTATACTATTTCAACTAGACCCCACACCAGGGCACCCTAAGAGGGGAAAAAAGTGAATTCAAAGCAAAAATAACTATTTGACTATAATATAGGCCACAAAAAATCTTGATATAACTCCTAGTTATAATTTTGATGCAACCAAGTTATTTTTTATATATTTTGTTATTTATTCTTTTAATAATGGAATTTTTTTAAAAAGTATTTTGTAACTGAGGAATTTTGATAATTTGGGGATTTTGTTTTCCCTTGGTCTAATGGAGAGAAAGACATTTTGGTTTTCTTTTTCCATTTTGGGTTCCTTTTGTTTCAGGCACGGATAACAGCAAATGGAATTCTGTATTTATTATTATTTAAGTGTAGCGCAGATGTGTGTGCTTGGGCGTGTTTCTCGTGTCGCGTTTGCGTGTCGGCTCTTGCGGTGGAGTCCTGTTGCTGTGAGGGAGTGCTGGCCGCAGGCAGCCTCGAGTCACCGCCAGGCTCACAGGCTGTGCCACCCGTCCCTCCGACAGCTCCAATACTGTGACCCTCCTTCCTCAGGAAGCGCGTTGAACCCACAGCACTCCGTGGTGTGTTTGCAGGGTGATTTCCTAATAAAAGTCCACTCTGACTGTGAATCGGTGCTGTGGTCTGTGGGGAGGACATTGTCTCCATTCTTGGTGAGCTCTATCATGCACCCTCCTGGGAGCACATGCCCAGGAGGGGAATCTTCCATCTCTGGTCTCCCCTTGATACCACACGTGGGTCCCCTCTGGTGTCAGCTTAGCCAGTATCTCCTTTTGAAACTACCCTACCTCACCGCCTCCACGTGTGTTTCTAGAAGGTGTAAATCATTGTATCTTGCCCCTTCCCACATGACCAGTCATATGCAAATTGAAGTTTTTCCCAGGAGTCTTCTCTTAGGGTCAGGGAGAATAACTTTTCCTGCTGAGGTTGTTAGACTTGGGGGTGTGGAACTGGGGTTGCCCTGGGCTATCTCTCCTGGCCACAGGATGAAGCCATCAGTAGTAGGAGAGAGTTCAGACATTCTGGAGGGGGGCAAAGCTGACAATGGAGGTAGATGTGAAGGAAAAGGGAGCTCTCTGATGATCTTTTTAGAGCTCATGGACCCAGCCATGTCTGAAGGCACTCCACCCTTGAACTGCCCAGTTATATAAGGCAATGGTTTATTTTTTTTTTTAAGCTGGTATACAAGGCCAAAAAGCCAATGCATACCAGCTTTAAAAAAAAAAAGAGACTTCTCCCCTTTTTCATTTTCGTACTTTTGTGTCAGGTGGAGCTCTAGTGCTCCTAGAGTAAGACCTGGACTTGGGACTTCTAGTCACATTCAGCCTAAACTGTCAACATGCTTTTGACCTCCCTGGAATCTGGCCCTGGTGGTAGTCCTGGAGCGTCCATCTGATATGCAAACAAAGGATCCATCTTCACTGACAAATTCTTAGAAATTCTGGACTGAGTTTCCACCCTCTGCTGTAGTCAGACAGGGTCCACAACACCTGTGGAGGACATTTGATCTGCCTTCAAGGCTCCAACTGCTGGTTGTGGGGGCCCAAGCAGGTGCCAGTGCCCACTGGTGGGTTATGCAGAACATGTTCAACTGTGAGGAAGGGTTCCTGGGGGTCCCCTTTGGTGAGGCCCCATTTGTGATGGGGAGACCAGTGGCCTGGAGTTGTACCCCTTCACGTCAGCACAGCAGATGCTGGGGTGGGTGTGAGCAAGACCGATTCTGAAGTGTCCCCTCAGCAAGCTGAGGTAAAGTCATTCTGGGGGGTATGAGAGTTGGCTGGAGAGGTGGGGACTATGATGTTCCTGCTAGGGGACACAGGCTGTTACCATGATGTTAGAAAGCTGCACAATCCCATAGTTTGATAATGGCACGAGCTGGTCACCCCCAAGAAGATTCTCTCACTTTTCGCTTAGAGGCACTGGCTGGGCCACCAGCCTACTGGGAGCTGAGAGAAAGAGCGTCTAAAGTCACAGGCATGTGCTCTCTTAGGATTTATTTTTGGTATGGGACCCCACAGCTAGGCCTTCTCTACCAGCCTGCAGACCCTCCTGTTTACTGTATCCAGAGGATAAAGCTCAAGGTTTCATCCAGAGGGAGGGGAGTGTTTGCCAGGCTCTCAGAGTCGGGGTGGAGTTCTGGGGAAGGGGGCTACTGGCTCCCGAAACACTTTCTACCAGTTGTCTTCTCCCATCTCCAACAGAATCTGGTGCTACCAGTTATTGGGGGTTCTGAGGTATGGACGGTGTTGGCTCTGAACTTTCTACACTCTGGCTAGAATTCAGTGTTTTGTGTCTCCTAGGCCATTTATTTTGCATCTGTGAATTTTCTGGCTTCTAAATTGCATTGTTGTCCCCTCTTTCATCTCCTCACTCCTGCCAATGTATGCCTTAAAATCTGTCATTTTAGGCAGGTGTAAGAGAGAACAAAGGTAAATACACATGTGCACCTGCTTTCCTTACCTGAATGGGTATGCTTCCAGTTGATGAGCACACGACTGTCTCCCTGAACAGACGGGAAGTCAGCTTAGTGCTGGGTCGACATCACCCCATGAGTAAGGGAAGCCTCAAGTTCAGGTGAGATTTTTCCTATTAACCACTCTGTCTCCCTGAAGCCAGTAGCCTCTCAGAGGCTGCTAAAGACATGGATGTGGAGGGTTTCCTAACTGTCAGCTGATTGTGAATCCTGCAACACAGGCCATCCATGCTCCCAGGGGTTATAGCATCTGTGCCATTCCCTCTGTCCTTCTTAAAATATGGAGGTGGAGTGTGGACTTCTCTAATGGAGTCTTAAGTCTTCACAAGGGCACCCTTATCCATGATCGTGGGTGGCCTGGGCTGGTGCCAGGCAGCTGACCTTTGGCAGAGCTATGCTCTGAGCCACTCTGGCCCTCACTGCACCCCAACCCTACCATCCCTCCTGGCTGCTCCCATTGTCTCTGCCTCTCTTTCTTTCCTCTCAGTGTCTGCAGCATGCAGGTCTCCGTGTGTGCTGACTTTTCTAAAGCCTGGCCTCTCCTCTTCCAGCACCTGCTATGGCTGCCTCCTCCTCTCCCTCTACTGTATCTTCCTCCCACCTGCTTATGTGCTCCTGGCCTCTCCTCCTTCCTGATTTCCACCCTACCCTGCAGCTGCCTCAGGGCTGTCCCAGCCTATGTCCCAGCCCCTTTCTTCTCATTCCCAAGGCTGATGTCTGCTGTGTGCAGAGAACTCCCATACTGTCCCCCAATCCTTTCTTCCCTGGCTCTAGTACCTTCTGGGTATGCACTTGGATGCCCCAGAGGCATCAGGACACATGCCTGGGTGACCACAACAGCCTGCTCGCTACGCCCACCTGGTCCTCTCTGGGCCCAGCAAGATACCAACCCCCATCAGCCCCTGGTCTTCACTCACCCAGCTGAAGGTCACATGGCCATACGGGAGTTGCCAACAGGGGCCACAACTGCCTGATGTGCCACATGAATGTGAATGCCCCTGTGGAGCACCCAGCTTGTGCTATGTGCCACCCCATGGGGCCAACCATAGAGCAGCCCTGACTAGGGCAGGTGTATGATGTGGGGGAAGAATGGATGGTTATTTTGGATCCTGGGGAAAGCCACGCAGGGATACGTGCACAACAGCACAGTCTGTGCCCTGCCCAGCATGTGGACACAGTGACTCCCCTGAGCTCCTAGAGAGCCCCTCCCAGTAACTGGCATCACAGTTTCCTGAGCTGTCTACTTGGGCTGATTGTAGCTCCTGAGAACTGGCCACACCCCTGGCAGCCTCGTGAGCCAGTGTAGGTCTTGAGGGGCACATTGGGAGCCCCACGAGGTTGGAGGAAGTGGTACAGTCTCAGCCCTGCAGAGCCATCCCTGAGCACCCACCACTCCCACGGTGAGAAACCTTGCTGGGGGGGCAGGGGGTGCCTGTGAAGCCTTGTCCCCTGACCCACAGGAGCCCAGGGGCAGGAGGGTGAGCAGCAAACTGCAGCCACCACTCCAGCACCCAGCGAACCCTCTTCATGGGACCCATTCATCTCTGCTCATGGGGCACCTTTTGCCAAATTAGACACACTTTTGCCTATTTATTTCATACACTGTCAAAAGTGTTTTCCTTGTCTTTAATTCGGTCACAGCTCTCTCTGTAGAAGTTGTCAAAATAGCAGAAGTCAAATCTGGTAATATTTATGACTAAAGATGGCGAGGAGCCATGTGAGAACCAACCTGCTGCCTAGGAAAGACCAACGAGAAGTGCTGCGGGTTCCACCCCATATCCCCTGGGCCACTGCTTGGGACCCCTGATGGGTGGATAATCTCAGAACCCATCAGGCACCAAATCTAGAAGGGTTCCATTATGGCTGCCCTAACTCCCACCCCACATAGAAGTCCTACTTGGCTCAGCTCTGAGCAGATAAGGAGAAATAAAGACTGACCATTATTGAATCTTATCCCTTTCTACACATTTGGGCTCCTTCCACCTCTCAACCACCTGTGATACAAGCAATAGGATTGTCCCCATCATGCAGATGAAGAAACCAAGGCCCAGGGAGGCCCAGAAGGCCACTCAGAGTCACACAGGGCTTGGCTGTGCAGCCGGGGTTTGCCGCAGGCCCCTGACTCCAGAGCTGGCGCCTTCGGAACCACATGATGGTGTCTGCAGCATATTCAGGAGGAGAAGAGCGGATCTGCACAGAGCAGTAGGATCCAGTGGGTATCCAAGGGGCCAGAGGAGAAGGGGCTGCTGTGGTCCCTAGTCCAGTGGGAAGGGCAGGAGGCACCAGGAAGAATCTGCCTGGCAGGGCAGGGAAAGATGGGAGCTCATTGCTGGGTTGCTCCAGCCTCAGGAGAGTTGGGAACCATCTGGGTCCCCAGTCAGGATGCCTAAAGAAGAGGCCAGGGGAGGCCAGGTAGATGTCATTGCCTCTGGGGACAATCTGATAATTCCCCAGAGCAGGTGGGACTGGCTGGAGACCACGAAGGCTCCTCGAAATGGAGGCAGATTCTCCAGCCTCATCTGCCTCCATATTTGGTGAAGAGAGCTACACAGAAAGCATGGGGAGAAAATGGGGCACAATGGTGGTCACGGGTGCCCCCCTGAGGGAGTTTGCACTTGACCTGAGGGAGGCGCGGGCCAGCCCTGGGGGTGTCTGAGGCAGGGGCAGGGACCCTGGTGGGAGGGAGGAAGGGTGCCAGCCAGTGAGGCTGGCCAAGGGGCAGGGGCAGCGGGAGGCATGAGGGATAAGGGAGTTCAGCCACGGCCAGACTTTGACGCTGTGTGAGATGCAAACACTGCGGGTCTGGGGCAGTGGAGTGATCTTGCTGATGTGTTTTCTGGTTTATTTGTCTGCACAAGATCCCTGAGATGAGGGTCTTGTCATACTAACCCTGGATGCCCAGGGTCAAGAGAGCAATCTGCCCTTGAGGCAAACAGTGCTGAGTGGAGGGAGGGAGGGGAAGTCCAGGGCCGGCCTCAAGTCACTGGGGACATCTGGATGAGTGCTGAGACAGGGCAGGGGGCTCCACATTGCATTTCCTCACCCAGATCCCAGGACTGGGCTGCCCGGGAGAAGCTGACTTGGAGCTCGCTCTCCAGACAGCTGGCAATTGGGTACCTCTCCCTGTGCCTGGCACCCCTGCCTGCCACATAAAGCCATCCTGCAAAGGTGCACTGTGGTCCCAGCTCACCCACCTATGACACTTCAGGGACATCCCTGCATCTCCCATCTATACCAGCCGCTCCTCTTGGCTTCGAGATCTGCCCCTGGTGGGTTGCTGGCTACCGGATGTCTGACAACAGCTGCCAGCCTGGTTCGGAAGTGCTACCCAAGGCCCTCCTGTTTGCACCTCCAGGTCCAGCTGCCACTCACCTGGTGCCCAGGGAGTGGAAACATCCTCTGCTACCACCTCGTCCTCACGACTAGTCTGGTCCACCACCTGTTGCAGTAAGACGTTTCTGGGGCGGCCCCTCCTTCTTCAAGGCCGATACCCACTCACATGTTCCCCTCCGGGTTTTCCTTTCACAATTCACAAGAGGCAGTGAGGAGTGAGGAGTGGTGGAAGAGCTGGCACAGGGGACAATGTCACCAGGAACCCTGGGTCCCACATCCTAAGAAGTGTGGGTGTCAGCTCAAGGCACTCCCACCTCAGGTGTGCTGTGGACAGGGCTCTGGGCCCTGGGTCTGACACCACTTCTTTGTGAGGACCCTGTATTAGCCAGGGTCCCCAGAGAAACAGAACCAATAGGGGATACATATGTATCTCTTACATAGGCCCAGCAAAGTTGATATAAAATTGGCTGCTGCAGACCTCTTCCCTATGCCCACGTAAAGTGGTTTGTTTTAAGATGAGAAATAATTTTTAAGACAGTTGGGAATGCCCAACCGTTTTATGTACGTGAATACATTCGAGTTCACCGGTATTTTCAGATCAGCATCAAGCTGCTGTCACCTGTGTGGCATGAATAGCACAGAAGCTTTGACGGATGTCGGAAAACAGACTGGCTTGTTCCACTCTGGCTACGGGGCTTAAGATGAGGAAGAAGGACTTCCCCTTCCAGATGACCCCGTTTGTCTCCTCCCAAGACAGCAGCTGTTCAGCGGTGACACCTTGCGGTAAATTCCTCATATGAGCCCCCCCCCCGCCCCCCGCCCACCCCAGCCACCCAGAGGTGCGAGAGACCAGGCGTAAAGGTAAATTCCTCATGTGAGCACCCCCCGCCCACCCGGAGGCGAGAGAGACCAGGCGTAAGGCCATTCCTTAGCAGTGCCGGTCCCCTGCCCCTGAGGCCCTGACAGAGCCGGCCTGCATTTCATAAGACCGAGGGCAAGTATCTCAGAGGCCCAGGACACCTAGAGCGGGCATGAGACCTTGCCCCTTCACTGGACTGCAAAAAGCACCCAGGAGACGTTGGAAGAGTGGCAGGGAAGGGGCTGAGGACGTAGGGCGGCTGCTGCAGGGGCCTATCCACACATCCACCCACTTCCCTTGTGAAAGCTTTCTGCTCAGCATGGGGGGAGAACCCCTGGCACAGCGTCCATCCGAGCGTCTTGTTCTGATTCGCCTTCATCCAGCCACTCCTGTCTCAGCCACCCCTGACCACCACCAAGTACTGAGCAGGGAAATGGCGAGGCAGCCACTGTCTGGTACTCAGGAGCGGAGCTCCTCCTCAGGAACAGGGTGCTGTCCGGGCACAGTGGCTCACGCCTGTAATCCCAGCACTTTGGGAGGCCAAGGCCGGTGGATCACCTGAGGTCAGGAGTTTGAGACCAGCCTAGTCAACATGGTGAAACCCTGTCTCTACTGAAAATACAAAAAAAATTAGCCAGGCATGGTGGCGGGCACCTGTAATCCCAGCTGCTCGGGAGGCTGGGGCAGGAGAATCGCTTGAACCCGGGAGGCAGAGGTTGCAGAGATCGCACTACTGCACTCCAGCCTGGGTCACAGAGTGAGACTCCATTAAAACAAACAAACAAACAAAGAATGGGGCACTTGTTGTAAAACCCTTAGAGGATAAAAAAAAAATTTTTAATTGTCATTGCAAAAGCGACATTGTCCATCATACAAACAAACATCACAGAAGTAAATTAAATGAGAAGTTGTGTCCTTAGCCAGAGCTGAGACATGCTAAGAAATTAACCTTACATATTTACCCATGGAGTCTCATTTCCAGAGTCCCTTTTTAAATGTAGAGCTACTCTTCCATCTGCTTCATTTGCTATCTGCCTGAAAAATTCCCTTTAACATTTCACATTGTGTTGGTCTGCTAATGAATTCTTTTAGCTTTGTATGTCTGAGAAAAATCTTTCATTGTTTAAAATAAATGACAAAGTTTATTTTTGAGAGCAGTTTGGGTTTACACAAAATTTGAGCAGATAGTACCAAGAGTTCCCATAGACCCCTCTCCTTATTATTAACATCTGGAATCACTGTGGTATGTTATAACAACTAATACACCAATATTGATGCATTACTATTAACTAAAGTCTAGTCTACAGTTCACATTAGGGTTCACTCTTTGTGTTGCAGTTACATGTTTTGTTGTTGTTTTGTGGGTTTTTTTTTGTTTTTTTTTTGGAGACAGGCTCAGGCTCTGTTGGAGTGCAGTGGCACAATCACTGCTCACTGCAGATTTCACCTCCCAGCCTCAAGCGATCCTTCCTACCTCAGCCTCCAGAGTAGCTGGGATTACAGGCATGTGCCACTATGCCCGGCTAATTTTTTTTTTTTTTTGTAGTGACGAGGTCTCGCTATGTTGCCAAGGCTGGTCTTGAACTCCTCCTGCCTCAGCCTCCCAAAGTGCTAGGATTACAGGCATGAGCCACAGCACCTGGCTAGTTATATGGGTTTTGACTAAAGCATAATAACATGTATCCACCATTACAGTATCATACAGAATAGTTTCAGTGCCCTAAAAACCCTCTCTGCTCTGCCAGTTCATCTCTCCCTCTCCCTCCAACCCCAATCCCTGGCAACCATTGATCTTTTCACAGTTTCTACAGTTTTCAGTTTTCCCGAATGTCATATCACTGGAATCATATAGTGTTAATATGTAGCCTTTTTATCCTGGTTTCTTTCATTTCGCAATAAGCATTTAAGTTTCCTCCTTGTCTTTTCATGTCTCAGAGCTCATTCTTGTTATCATTCATTCATACTCCATTGCTTAGCATGTATGAGTTTGTTTATTCATTCACCTGTTGAAGGACATCTTGGTTGTTTCCAAATTTTGGAAACTGTGAATACAGCTGTTATAAAAATCTATGTGCAACTTTTTGCATGGACATAGTGGTTGAGTAAGCACCTAGGAGTGCAAATGCTGGATCATAAGGTAAGACTTGTGTCTTCCACAGAGCAGAAGTTTTAATTTTAACAAAATCTACCTTACCAATTTTTACTTTCACGGATTGTGTGTTTGACTTGTCAAAAGAGTCATCACTAAACCCAAGACCACCAGGATTTTCTCCTATATTATTTTGTAGAACTTTTATGTAAAAAGTTTGAGATCTATGTGTAGTTTTTTGGTTTTTTGTTTGCATATGGATGTTCAGTTGTCCCAGCATCATTTGTTGAAAAGACTATTCTTTCTCCATTTAATTGCTTTTGCTCCTTTGTCAAAGAACAGTTGACTGTATTTGTGTAGGTGTATTTCTGGGTTTACTATTCTATTCCATTGATCTGTTTGTCTCTTCTTTTGCCAACACCACACTGTCTTGATTACTGTAACGTTATAGGTCTTGAAATCTGGTTGTGTCAGTTCTCCAACTTCGTTCTTCTTCAGTACTGTGTTGGCCATTCTGGGCATTTTGCCTTTCCATATGCACTTTAGAATCAGTTTGTTGATATCCATGAAATAACTTGCTGAGATTTTGATTGGTGTTGCATTGAATCTACAGATTAAGTTGGAAATAACTGATAGCACTGCTGAGCTTTCCTCTCCATAAACATGGAATATCTGTCTATGTAAATATTTGATGTCTTTTATGAGAGTTTGGTAGTTTTCCTCATATAGACCTTGTACCTATTTTGTTAGGTTTATGCCTAAGCATCCCATTTTTTGGTGCTATTGTAAACAGTATTGTATTTTTAATTTCAAATTCCAATTGTTAATTGCTGGTATATAGGAAAGCAACTGGCTTTTGTTTATAACCTTACATAGTAGTCCCCCATCTGTGGTTTTGCTTTCCATGGTTTCAGTTACCTGCAGTCAACCACAATTCAAAAACATTAATTGGAAAATTACAGAAATAATTCATAAATTGTAAATCATGTGCTATTCTGAGTAGTGTGATGAAATCTCGTGCCGTCCTGCTCCATGCTACCCAGTACGTGTGCCACCTTTCTGTTCAGCATATCCATGCCATATACACTACCTGCCCATTAATCACTTAGTAGCTAACAGAGAGACCACACTCATGTAACTTTTATTACAATATATTGTTATAGTTGTTCGATTTTATTATTAGTTATTGTTGTTAATCTCTTGCTATGCCTAATTTATAAATTAAACTTTATCATAGATGATCCATATGTAGGAAAAAACATAGTATATATAGGGTTTGATTCCATCCCTGGTTTCAAGCATTCCTATATGTACTATAGAGTTTGGTACATATCCCCAACAGTGTCTTAGAACATATCCCCTAAGGATAAGGGGGGGGACTGCTGTATCCAGCAACCTTGCTGTAGTCAGTTATTAGTTTCTGGAGTTTTATTGGAGATTCTTCAGGGTATAATACACAGTTAATCTTACCACCTGTGCAAAAAGACAGTTTTATTTCTTCCTTCTAAATCTGTAACCCTTATTTTCAAGTCTTATTGCATCAGCTAGGACTTCTATATGATGTTGAACAGAAGTAGTGAGAGGGGACATTCCTGCCTTGTTCCTGATCTTAAGGAGAAAGGGTCCACTTTCTCACCATTAAGTATGATATTAGCTGTTGGTTTTCTGTAGATGTTCTTTATCAAGTTGAGGAAATGCCCCTCTCTCTATTACTAGCTGGGTGAGAATTTTTTTTTTTTTTTTTTTGAGATGGAGTCTCACTCTGTCGCCCAGGCTGGAGTGCAGTGGTGCGATCTCGGCTCACTGCAACCGCCGACTCCCTGGTTTAAACTATTCTCCTGCCTCAGCCTCCCAAGTAGCTGGGATTACAGGCATGTGCCACCATGACCGGCTAATGTTTGTATTTTTAGTGGAGACGGGGTTTCGCCATGTTGGTCAGGATGGTCTCAATCTCCTGACCTCGTGATCCGCCCGCCTCGGCCTCCCAAAGTGCTGGGATGACAGGTGTGAGCCACTGTGCTCAGCCAGCTGGGTGAGAATTTTTAACACGAATGGGTATGGAGTTGCAGTTAGGCATGATGAAAAAAATGTGGAGCTGGATAGTAGTGAGGTTGCACAATAGTGTAAATGTACTTCATGTACACTTAAAAATGGTTCAAATGATAAATGTTTTGTATACTTTACCATAGTAAGAATAGTGTATTTCGAAGACAACAACACAACCTCCCACATGTGGCTCTAGCTACTTGCTCCCCAGATACCCAGCCGCACCCCTGCCTCAGGCCCTTGCATGACCTTCCCTCCGTCCGAGGCTCCTCCTGCAGATACAACACAGATGAGTGGAGAGATGCAAGGGGATAGGCGAGGGGACACTGAAGACATACTCAGAAAGCTCCCCGTGGCTGGGTGTGGGAGAAGCCTGGAGGAGGGTGACAGCAGCAGTTGGATTCCCATCCACCTTCCTGTGCTTACTACTAGCTGGTAAGTACAAGAAGCCAGCGAACCTCTTGCAGTTTCAGTTCCCTCATCTGTAAAATGGAGGTATCAGTGTCGTCAAGCCAAAGGCTGCCAGGAACCTGCCTGTAATTGAATGAGTTGGGATTATCACTCATTGCAGCGAGAGGGATGCAGATCATGGAGAACTGCAAGGCATCTCAGTAAGAGGTGTCGGGAAAAGTTACTAAAGGTTATGGGCTTGAGTTGGGTGATTTTTTTCATGGATTAGATGCTGTCAGGAATTGGGGGAGTGGATGGGGGGAAAGGGTGGTTCTCTGGGCATCTCAGTAGATGTTATCTGTGAGGAGGCCAGGGCAGAGGGAGGCTCAGCTGTAGCTGGTAGAGGAGCGGGGGTCATTGTTACTAACTTGGAGATGATATGTCTTAGATTTTGTGGGTGGCACAGTTACCCTGTTTTTGTTTGTGCTTAGACAAAATTATGACGTGGCCTTGGATCATGATGGTGCTCCTCTACAAAATTATTTATGTCCAACAGGAGACCCCATGGCCTCGATCTGAGTGCCAGGCCAGCTCCTGATGTCACGGTCCACTTTTCTTCTTGGAGGTCATACTAGTACCTATTTCATGGAAATAACCCATGTAGAGTGCTCAGTATATACCCTGTGAAGGGTTATGAATGCTGATGGTAGTGGAAGCTGATGTGGAGGGGAATGGTGGAGACACCTTGGAAAACCAAGCAAGAGTCTGAAGTTGTGGCAGGCCGGGTCTCACTAACGCAGGCCTCCATTACAGCTGTCCCAGCACGGACTGAGTAGCCAGGTTAAACATTAAAAGCTGATTGAGCCAATGCCCTTATACAAAGGTTGGAATGTAACAAAGAGCCCACCAAGAGTTTTGCCTAGGCTCTTCCTGGGCCTTGAAGCATGACAAGATAACGAAGGAACTCTTAACAGGACCCTTTTTAGGATTAAACAAGTTGTATTAGGGATCTGAAGAAACTCCCCAGGCCTCCACAAACAAGTTTATGGGGGTCTAAAGGAATTCCCCATATCATTATGATTTAGCAGGAGACAAGATAAGGGTAATCACCCCAGCACCTAGACCCATTTAGATTAAGTAAACTTACTGAGGCTCCAGAAGAGGGTCTTCAGGACTCAACCTTAGTCATAGATTAAAAGAAGTTAATCACTTATGTCTGTAGATGAATGCACACTTACATGTAGACATACAGCTTAGAAGGTATACGAGCTTTGGAAAACTTTGTAATTTTGAGTTGGTATGGTGATAATTTCCAGGCCTTCTCCTTGTAACCGGTTACAGAAATAAAACCTCTCTTACTCTCCAGCTCATTTGCATCTTGTTATTGGGCCAGGAGAAGTAGTAGCCCGACCCTCAGTTGGGTCCAGGAACAAAGGGAGTGTCTGAAGACAGCAGTGATGTGATCACCTGTTTTAGGAGGACCACTCGCCAGAGCCCAGGGGAATGGTGGGAGGGGTGGGGAGAGGTGAGGGGAGCTGGGACAGGGCAAGGAGGGATGTATGGAGGACGTGTCCCCTGGCAGTAGGAAGAGAGTCAAGGATGACTCCAGGGCTTCTGTAATTTGAAACAGTCACAAATAACCACAAGCTCTCAGGTGGAAGGACACTGAGAGCCCCATGAAGGTCATGAGGTGGTGGGCCACCTCAGGTCCGTGGATCCAGGACCATGGATCAACAAGAGAAGTGAGGTCTCCCTGGGACCACATAACGTGGTGAAGGCACCGGCCTTTGGTTTTCAAACTCTGCTCCTAAGTGGAGCTCCAGGGTCTGGGGAGGAATGCCGAGTTAGGAGGGAGGCGGGAACCGGAGACCCAGGCCCACTCGTCCGCCCCAGCGACGCTGGCACTTGCACATATGAGGCGGCTTGCATGGCTGTGCTTGAAGAAAGGGTTCTGCAGCTACAGCCTATCTGCAAAGCCCCACGCGAAGTTTGGGCAATGGGCTGTGTGAACCCAGAAAATGGGAGACAGGTCTCAGTTAATTTACAAAGTTTATTTTGCCAAGGGTGAGGACGCGCCCGTGACACAGCCTCAGGAAGTCCTGACATGTGCCCAAGGTGGTCGGGGCACAGCTTGGTTTTATACATTTAGGGAGACAGGATACATCCATCGATACATGTAAGAAGCACATCGGTTCGGTCTGGAAAGACGGGACAACTTGAAGCAAAGGCAGGAAGACTCCAAGCGGGGAGGGAGCGTCCAGGCCACAGATAGGTGAGACACCAACGGTTAAATTCTTTTGAGTTTCTCATTTGCCTTTTCAAAGGAGGCAAATCAGATATGTATCTATCTAAGTGAGCAGAGGAGTGACTTTGAATGGAATGGGAAGCAGGCCTGCCCTAAGCAGTTTCCTGCTGGAGTTTTCCTTAGTGATCTTGGGGGCCCAGGATATCTTCCTTTCACAGCTGATTTCACAAAGCCGGCTGGGTAGGAGGGCCCCAGGGCCGGGTGGCCGTCCGCGTGGCAGGGCGGGGGTCCCAGGGCGGCTGTGCTTGGTGCTGGGAGGCCGCCCGAGGGCAGCGCCGGCCCCGAGTCAGCAGCCGCAGGGCACCCTGGAGATGCGGAACGCCCCCAGCCGTGGGTCAGCAAAGGCGTCTCAGGTGACCCTTAGGGAGGGCTTCTGAGGCAGCCCGTGCGGGGTCCGTCCTGGCTGAGCACTGCGCGGACGGCGCGCCCGCGAGACTCGGACCCGGCCTAGGGCTCAGCGAGCTCTCAGCGGGGCGGGCGGACGCAGGCAGCCCAGGGGAGTGGGGCCCGCCCTGCGCCGCCATCACCCCTTTAAGTGCCAGGCCCGCGGCGCATGCGCAGTCAGGCCGTTGTGCGCAGGCGCAGAGGCGGCGGCGGCGGCGGCGGCGGCGGATGTTTACGGCGGCCGAGGTTGGAGCGGCGCTGCTCGGCCGCGGACACACGAGGGACGCGCCCGAGGAGCTGCAGGTGGCAGCCCAGGCGGTCCGAACCCGTCGGCCGGCCGAGCCTGGAGGTAGAGCCGCCGCCGCCGCCGCCGCCCCTCGGTCCGGCCTGCGGCGAGCGGGTGGTGTGTCCCCTCGGCCCCTTCCCTCCTCCTTCCCCACCCCCGGCACCCCTGCGCCCGGAGCTCTCCTCTGGGGGCGTCGCTCCTCCCCACCTCGGGCACCCTCACCTCCCCCCAGCGGCCTCCAGGGCGTCCCGCGTTTCTCTCTCCGAGCGCTCGCGGTTTCCCGTCGGTCTCTCCCGGTGCCCGTTGCTCACTCACACTCTTGGGTCTGGTTAGTCCAGACCTGCAGCTTGTCTTTGACTTCCCAAGTGGGAAACGTTTGCAGTTCCAAGGCAAGCCAAGAGCTAAGGTTTAGAACAAAGTCTGCCTTGGACCCTTTCAGAAGATGACAGGATTTTTTAAAAAAATAATTGCGCCCCCCCGCCCCGTGCCTTGGAGATAGTAAGAATTGGAGCAGAGCACTGGGACTTCAATTCACGCATGGAAAGAGATCTTTGTTAGTTGGAGGAAGGAGAACTTGCCTGAGCTTCGGGCCTTTGTTTTGTTTTTGTGAGAGGGACGTGTCTCCTAAATGAATGTTTGCTCCAGCGTTGCACCTCAAATAAGTCACCTAAATATCCACGCCCTCTTTATCCACCCCCTCTTTACTCGTGTGACTAGAATAGTTTTCATTTTTCTTCTCAAGGGAATGGCTAAACAGCTCCTATCTGGGCGTTTGATAGACTGTCATTCAAGAATGAGTGAAGTTGAGGTGCCTATAAGCAACTCAGAAATTGTTGTGGCCACGCTTGGGGGAAATAGAGCCCTACACTCAGGTGATGAGAGGAGACCTCAGAGGTGACCGATCCAGGGCCTTGCTCCCTGCGCCACCCCAGCTCGTACCTCCAGTGGAACTTGGCTGGGCTTATCAAGAGCTCCTTTCATTCATTGCAACTTCATTTGTTAGAAAGCTTCTCTGTGTATTTAGTAGGCATTGTCTCCAACATGTACCACTGGTCTGGCTTTTGTTAGGCCCATTAATAGTGTACATGTGACAGCCTTTCAAGTATAGGTGCTCCCCGGCTTACGGTGGGGTCGCATCCCAGTAAACACATCGTTAAACCTGAAGTCGAACCATCCGAAGTCGGAGACCATCTGTATTTGAAAAAAGTCCCTTTGCATTGCTTGTAAGAGTTCTGGTTTTCAAGGTGAGAAATCTGTTTGTGTGTTTGTTTGATCATTCTGCCCAAAGGAGATGTGGCTTTGGGTCCTTTTCCCCACTCATCTTCCACAATGAATTACTTTGTCCATATTACCCTAAAGAAGTGACATCCAAGTTGGAATGTGATCTTCCGTATGTCGCCTCCCAAAACCCCACTACCATAGCTTCATGCTTGTGTTGACACAGCCACAATCACAACTCAGGTGTCAGTTCTGAGACCTTCCCATGCCTGTCGCCACTCAGCAAGTGTTCTTCATGTGCCCTGGCAGTTCGCATTGTAAGGAGCAGCCAGGTTGTTATGGACTGTTGCTAGTTACCACAGAGTAGTGAATTATATTAAGGATTAATTACAGCAGACAATGTGCACAGTATCATCGAGTGCAGCGTTCTAAAAATGATTCTACACTTTTACTTTGAAAAATTGGATTTGACCAGATTGTAGAATCTGGGTGAAAATGATAGGATTTGGTTTGGCGAAGAGCTTTGTTGTCGGTGTTTTTGGTGACATCATGACTGATCATATCGATGGTTTTCAGTGCGAGGGAGTGTTAGATTACCAGACAAAGATGGTAATAAATATCAGACCCCACAGCTATTCACATGGATCCTACCAGTGGCAATAGGTATAGATAGGGTTACCCCATCGTCAAAAGGTTACCGGTGTGTTGTGTGGTAAAGAACGTTGCTGTCTTGAGTATTTTTAAAAGCTGCACTGGTGTGGTATTAAAAACACAGGCCTTTTGCCATACAGTCCTGGGTTTGAATGCAGCCCCCTCCTCACAAACTGGCTATGTGATCATGAACAAATTAACCGGCCAGCTCCAATTTGCTTCTTAATGTTGTGAAGTGTAAATGAGGCCATGACTGGCAGGTGGTACCTGGAAAAAGGTGCTTGTTTTTACTAAAAAGCTGTCTGAACTTTCAAATTAAGGCAGAGTTCAAAATAAGTGATAGTTACTTAGTGGAAAATGAAACCTATCCAACATACAGTTTGAGGTTACCTTCTAGAGATGTGGCATTGAGACAATGTTGGAACATTATATACAGGCTTCTGGGTGAAGAGGTGGCTTTGACTGAGGACGGTATGCGATTTTCCAGCTCTTTTCCTAAATAGACCCTTAAGCATCCAAACACATGATTCCGCTTTTAACCACTGACCCAAATTTTAAGATGACTGTGGTAGGCTAGGGTGCAGCCTCAGAACTGAGTGGCTTATCCAGGATTAAAGTTGACCTCATTAGGACTTAATTCCATCTAAGTCTAAGTCAGCTGGCTGTGGACCGTAATCTAACAAGGGCTCCGAAACAATTCAAAAAATTCAAAAAGGGTGTGAAAATTTAATGACTGGACCATCCTATTGATTTGCAAAACCTAATATTCAGCTCTAAAATCTTGAGTGTGAAGATTGAGTGTTCCACCATAAAAATAGAAGAGAATTTGTGTTAAGCTATACCCTTCACACTTTTTGTTCACTTGTAAGAAACTATGTGATTATTTTCATTCCTGGGAAAACCTCCCACCGCTGTCTCCAGTTGTGTACGTGGGTGTGTATGAAATCCGCCCCAGGCCCCTTGTCACCCCACAGTATTTCTTTACGATCCTCATTCTACTGTTAGAAATCCAGAGGAATGTGAGGAGGAAAGCAAGTATAAACTTCATCATAATTATAACAAGTTGTTAAAAAGGTTGTGTTCATTTCAGAAAATGTCTTCATGAGGTCTGGTGGTCTTTTTCCCTGACAATTTGTATCTGGTGTTTTGTAAAGCATTACCATTTTATATGAAGTTAAAGCAGTTACTTTGAAAAAGTTACATGGGGTAAGTATAAAATTGGAAAGGATATTTTTGTAGTTTTAAGAAGAGTAAGACTTCTCCGCGTGAAAAAGTGTTTTCTTGTGAATTAGCTGAAGCTACCCTGTATTTTAATAGTTAGGCTCAGAGGTGACACATGCTGTGCTTTTTCTTCTTGAAGGCAGGTTGGGAGAAGGTAAGACAAGTAGTTGTTATTTTTAAAGAGCTGGGAAAGCTGCGTATCATGCAATTGAGGAGGGGCTGTAGGAAGTTCTGGTAGCAGCCCCTCCTACACTTAAACTTTAGCCAGGAAGCTGATTTTGCATTTGTTAGAAAAAGGTATTTGTCACAGTACGTTCAATTTGGGAAGAGTGTTTTCTTGCTGTTTTTGTCTAAAATTTGAACATCAAAATATCCAAATCAACAGGTCAGATGGATTGCTTGACTTGGGTGGGTACTTTTGTGTATGTTGGGGATATAGAATTCCCAGATGTAATATAGGACACCACCTAAAGTTTTTTTTCTTTTCTCTTTTTTTTTTTTTTTTTTTTGAGACAGAGTCTTGCTCTGTTCCGCAAGCTGGAGTGCAGTGGTACGAGCTCTGATCACTGCAACCTCTGCCTCCCGGGTTCAAGTGATTCTTCTCCCTCAGCCTCGCCAGTAGCTGGGATTACAGGCATCCACCAGCATGCCTGGCTAATTTTTGTATTTTTTAGTAGAGACGGGGTTTCACCATGTTGGCCAGGCTGTTCTTGAACTCCTGACCTCAGGTGATCCAACTGCCTCGGCCTCCCAAAGTGCTGGGATTACAGTCATGACCCACCGCACCCGGCCTAAATTTGAATTTCAAATAAACGTCAAATAACTTTTAGTATTGTTGTTTACCTTAATTTCCAATTGAACTGGGATTTTTTTTCCTTCTAAATCTGGCATCTCTGGGTGGGGCAGGGGATGAGGTGGGTGTTGACAAAAGATAATCTATTATTTTCAGAATTCAGAATTTCAAATTGGTATCTGTTTAGAACTTCTATTGTTCTGCTCTTACCTTTAACATAAATCGCTCTTTTTAAACATTTTTAATTATAGTATTGCCTAAGTGTAATCTTGAACATGGGCGGTGCTGTGAGTGCTGGTGAAGACAATGATGAGCTGATAGATAATTTGAAAGAAGCACAGTATATCCGGACTGAGCTGGTAGAGCAGGCTTTCAGAGCTATCGATCGTGCAGACTATTATCTTGAAGAATTTAAAGAAAATGCTTATAAAGACTTGGCATGGAAGCATGGAAACATTCACCTCTCAGCCCCGTGCATCTACTCGGAGGTGATGGAAGCCCTAGATCTGCAGCCTGGACTCTCGTTTCTGAACCTGGGCAGTGGCACTGGGTATCTCAGCTCCATGGTGGGCCTCATTCTAGGTAAGTGTGGAAGGAGAGTCTGAAAACTCATCTGTCTCAGGGAAGGAGGCATCTCCTTTGACAGAAAATGTAGTCTGCTAATGGCCTGCCTGGGTCGAGACCGCAGCCTTCCCAGTAGTTATCTGACATTGACACATCACTGGGTGGTGGATAGAGGGATGAGGGAGGAAGGCCTGCATGCATCTCATGGGCCCCGGATTCTCCAGAGGGACCTCTCCTGTTCTCTGTCCCCTCTTCCTGTGCTGCCACAGCCTGTACTGCGCACCTGCCCTCTGGACAGCGGAGGATAAAGACAGTTGTGTAAATCTTGACCCCACTGTGATTTCTCGATTTAATTTTATCACTCATTCTTCCTTGTCACTCCTTCTCTAAATCGATGGTAATTAACTTGAAAGTCCTTTCGGAGTACTTCTAAGCAGTTTTTGTTTTGTTGGTTTTTTTTTTTTTTTTTTTTTGACAGTTGTGCCCCATCGTCTAGGCTGGAGTGCCGTGACACGAGCAAGGCCCACTGTAGCCTTGACCTCCTGGGATCCAGCAAATCCTCCTGAGTACCTAGGGCCACAGGCACGCACCACCACCCCTGGCTGATGTTTAAATGATTTTTAGAGACGGGGTCTCGCCATGTTTCCCAGGCTGGTCTCAAACTCCTGGGCGCCAGCTCTCCACCTGCCTCAGCCTCCCAAAGTGCTGGGATTACAGGCATGAGCCACCATGCCTGGCCTACTTTTTTGTTTTAATACTAAGAGTAATACCTGTAGATTTTAAAATTAGTTTCAGGGATGGAAGGGATTTCACTATGAAGCTATTTAGCCTATTTTCCAAACAAATGAGTTGTGAGACTGCACATGGAAATATGGCTATTTTTAATAATAGCAGATAACTAAGGAAAAACATCACTTGGTGCCAAATGCTGTGAGGGGCGGGGAAGGCATCTGTTTTTAACTCAGTAGGGTGGAAAAGTTTTGCCGGAGGGGTGATAGGAGCTGATCTGTAAACAGGAAGCAGGGGCCAGGCTGCTGAGGCAAAGCTGGCTGAGAAGACGCTGGATGAAACCAGTGCAGAGAAGCTGGAGTCTGTATTTTTTCTAAATCCTGTTAGAACTGACAGGATTTACGGGTGGACTGTATATGCTTGTGAAAGAAACGTCAGGAATGTGGCTTGGCTTGGTGGTTCATGCCTGTAATCCCAGCCCTTTGGGAAGCCGAGGTCGGAGGATCGCTTGATCGCTTCAAGATTGCAGTGAGCTATGATTGCACCACTGCACTCCAGCCTAGGTGACAGTGAGACTCCGTCTATAATTGATTTTTGTGGATATGGAATGATAATTTTGTTTTTTTTTTCTAAGTCTGTATAAATTGGAATTTGGTGAAGTTTTGAGACCGATTATTTTGGCTTTATGCTATAGATTGCTACCTTCAGGTGTAAAAGTGTGTAGATTTTTATAATGCTTTTTGACCGTAACTTCTCTTCAATTGAGACTGTTGTGATCCCTGTGCTTTGAGAAGAGAACACAGTGCCCAGATTATTTATCATTTTTGAATTTGGGAATTGTGATTTCCTCCAACGTAGCTGAAAAATAGGGGCTATAGCTAAGGTAGAACCTTGGGGAGAAATAGGTGATCAAGCTGACTAGATTAGAAATACTATAGGAAAGAGCCAAAATGCTTAGGAAAAGATGACTTAAAGTAAGCCTGAAATGGTGGGGCGTGGTGGCTCACGCCTGTAATCTCAGCACTTTGGGAGGCCGAGGCAGGCAGATGGCTTGAGGTCTGGAGTTCAAGACCAACCTGGCCAACGTGGTGAAACCCTGTCCCTACCAAAAGTATAAGAAAGTACCTGGGTGTGGTGGTGCACACCTATAATCCCAGCTACTCAGGAGGCTGAGGCTGGAGAATCACTTGAACCTGGGAGGCGAAGGTTACAGTGAGCAGAGATGGTGCCACTGCACTCCAGTCTGGCTAACGGAGCCAGACTCCATCTCAAAAAGAAAAAAAAAAAGTAAGCCTGAAATGGCCTTGCTGTACTTGACATCCCCTAGAAGTTATAAGGAAAGGCCTTCCAACTTGATACAGTTGCTTTTCTTTCCTGAATCCCCTGTTTACTGGAAATTTCATTGGATTTTGGGAGGAGAGAGGTCTGAAGGAAGGAAAGGCCTGTTTTCTGCTGTAATGGATGTAACATGCTGCTTTGATGCAGTTGAAGGAAGTGACTTCAGGGTTTGCTGTCATGGATGCGTGTCTTGGCTGTGTCTCCAGATGCTGCAGCTTTTATTCAAGCTTAATAGCACTTGGTGCAGAGCACTCCAGAGTGAAACCTCATTGGCTTCCCGGCGCCTGTGGATGTGGGTCTCTCATCTGACGGAGTTCTTTACTGTGACCCCCGACTGCCTTTCGCATGGCCTGAGCGGCATCCTGGGTCAGCCCTGTTCCTGTGCTTGCTCTGTGGGCTCCTCTCCCCTTTGCTCAGGGCTGTCCTTACCTTTGTTTGTCATCAACCAGGGGAGAATACAGTAGCTACTAAGAGATGGTGGCTCATAAGTCACCTACCTGAAAAGTGCTGGGTGATTCGGAAGCAGGGCAGACCTAGGAGCGGCTCTGCCAGGGGGGCCTCGCTGCTCTGGTTTCATGCCGTGCTCCAGTGCTGAGTCCCAGGTGCCGTGTTCCTGACACCCCCCGGCCACCCTGTGTCCTCCTCCCCTGCTAGTCATCTTTGTATTAAGCAGGTGGGTCGAGGTATTTGTGTTACTACTGTTTGGTGTTAAGCTTCTTGGGAATAGGAACCATATCTCATATCTGTTACTAGAATTAACTGCTTATTAAGTGTTTGATAGTGAAGGTGAGGGGTCAGTGAAAATAAGATGAGTGGGAAGAATCAAGCGCTATTTTTGGTCTCTGGCAGAGTCGGGAATTGAAGTCGGAGTTGTCAGAAGGTCTTGACGTTCAGAGTAATTCAGGATTTGATGTTGTAAACAGTGAAAAGGGGAACTCTCAGGTAGGGTGTATTTTGACGAGGTAATGTTTTAGCAGCAGCTCTGTGTATGAAATACGTGGAGAGAAAAGAGCAGCAGGTACAGTTGTCCAAATGGGGGCCAGGGAAGCCTTGGCCTGGGCTGGTGGCTGTTGTACTAGGAGGGCCCACACGGTGCAAAGGTGTGGGATGCACAGAAGGTTGCCCATTTCTTAGCATTTCTGTTAGATTGTAGGGTCCAGTGCTACATGATCACTGTAGTAGTATATCTGTCTACCAAGTAAAGTCCTACGTGCCTTGTGATTTTTACATGTAGATTTAAAAAGTTGACGTGTAACTTACCCATAGTAAATGAACAAGTGTGAAGTGTGAATTCTGGTGGACTTTTACATATGCATCCACCGCCATATAAACTCCAGCCACAGCAAGATGCAGAGTTGAATCAGCACCCCAAAAGGCTCCCATGCCCCCTCCTCCTCCTAGAAAGTTCACCAGTGTTGCATCTTCCAGAAAGGTGATGACCGTTTTGCCTTTGTCGGCAAAGATGAATTTTGCCCGATTTTTACCTTCATGTAAGTGGATTCCCGCAACAGAGAGACCCATTTAAGTTGAGTGTCAATACTGTGTTCCCAGTTAACGTAGGGGCAGTTTTATATCGGGGGAGCACTGTCATCATTAAGTGGACTTGTAACATTTCTCAGTTGTATTTCAAATTACTGATAAATATCCTTTGATATAAAAATGTTTCATTGTGACTTGGAAGCATAGTTTTATCTTAATGATGATGATTGAACCCTGTTTTGTGAATATTATAATGCTCACATCTGAGTGTTCTGGGCAACTTTTCAGGGAAAACAGAATCGTCTTAAATGTTACCTCTGGACAAACAGGTGAGGCCTGTGTCAGTTCCATTTGCAAATACATGTTTCTTCTTTAGTTCATTAGTAAGACCTGAACACTTGGTTTGTCTCCATTTTCAAATGATTCTTTAAAAGTTTGTGAGCAGAGAAGCCCAGGCCTCAAGTATTTACGATGTGGTGAGCCGTGATACTGTGATGAGACTTCAAAACTTTGTGAATGTCTGTAGTTACACATGTTAAGTCAGACGTGTTACAGTTGGTAGAAGTGAACAGATGAGCAAGAGTTCTTACTCTGGTTCTACATGTTTTCTTATTCTTAAACCTTTTAGGTCCTTTTGGTGTGAACCATGGGGTGGAACTTCACTCAGATGTGATAGAGTATGCAAAGCAGAAACTGGACTTCTTCATCAGAACAAGTGATAGTTTTGACAAGTAAGATGAAATACTATCCATTGGCTCAGATGATGTGAACTGTAATTTTACAAAGTTTTGATCAGATAGAAAGAAATCATGTGGTAGGAAACATAATTAAACTGTGGTGGGATGATTCTATGTGCCTGTTCTAATTTTCAGAAAAGATTCTGTGTTTTGAGGGTTTTAGGGTATTTCAAACTGTTACACATACATAAGGTGTTCATTTGCTCAATATTCATGTTTCCTGTTGAAGACAACTGTTTACCACCTAGTTTTTCCTAAAATAAAATTGTTGCATTTGTCTCTAAACAGTATATGTAACTAGCTTTTGCCATTTTAAAAGAAGGCATTAAAGTTCTTATTTTAGGGATTAAAATTTTTAGAAACACCAAGTGCAGTTTCACCACCCCCACATCTCACTCATTGTGTAGTATTAATAGATCTTACATAAGATGATAAGAAGATGACAGAGACAGCAGCGACTGGAGATTGTGTGAAATTTGGATAAAACTTTTGATATTCACTTTCATACTATTTTGTTTGGTATTTCTAGAGTTCTAGTTATATAGTATAATTCTTTTTGGAAGTAATTCTTGGACATTTGTAATTCTTTTCTTCCAGCTCCTCACACTGTAAACTGTGTTACATTGCTGTGGGATTTTAACCTGTGGTTAGCATAGATTTACTGTATAGACTTGTTGCAATGTGATACTTTTAGTTGCAGGAAGCATTTTTTACTTCCAGGTTTGACTTCTGTGAACCTTCCTTTGTTACTGGGAATTGCCTGGAGATTTCTCCGGATTGTTCTCAGTATGATCGTGTATACTGTGGGGCTGGCGTGCAGAAAGAGCATGAAGAGTACATGAAGAATCTTCTCAAAGTGGGAGGGATCCTTGTCATGCCACTGGAAGAGAAGGTCAGATTCCCTTCATAACTGACATTTCTGCACACTGTGTGCCAAGGTCTGTTCTGGGCAGTGTACGGATACTTACTCTTTTAACAATTTCCTGCATTTCACAAATGAGGAAACAGAGGCAGGGACAGGTGAGGGAGATGCAGGGTCACGCACATGCCCTAGCTGGGGCCAGAAGCTGACTCAGGTGGGTGCTTCAGAGCCTGCACGTGAAACGCTTTTCTCCACCTTCCTTCTCTGTCTCTCTCTTTTTCCTTCTTCTGTCCCTTCCCCCTCACCTCCCTCTTCCTTCCCCTTCTCCTTCCCCCCAGCTGTTCTGAGTTTTAATTCTAATTGTTAATCTATTATAATTGTTCTGCTGTTAGAATTATATATAAAATAGAGTCATTCTATTCTCATCATTAGTCTAATTGTTACATGCCTTGATGTTATGCATTTGACAGGAATCCTTTGCCTAGTGAGAGTCTTGTCCAAGTTTGCTGTTTGGTCATGCTTGTTTGTCTGTGTTACTGTATGTCACTGGGAAAAATAGTTTATAGTAAATGAACAGATTAATCAGACATGAATTGGTCACCAAGAAGAATGTCTCCCAGTCACAAAGAACTAGGAAAACACAAATAATAAAAATTAGGAGGTTTTAATTGTTTTAATAAAAATTTGGAGATGAGATCTTGCTCTGTCATCCAGGCTGGAGTACAGTGGCATGATAATAGCTCACTGTAACTTCAAACTCATGGGCTCAAGTGACCCTTCCGCCTCAGCATCCCAAGTAGCTGGCACTATAGGCACGTGCTGCCATGCCCAGATAAATTTATTTTTTAAATATTTATTTATTTATTTATTTATTTAGAGACAGAGTCTCGCTCTGTCGCCCAGGCTGGAGTGCAGTGGCGCGATCTCAGCTTAGTGCAACCTCTGCCTCCTGGGTTCAAGCGATTCTTCTGCCTCAGCCTCCTGAGTAGCTGGGATTACAGGTGCGTGCCACCACACCCAGCTAATTTTTGTATTTTTAGTAGAGACAGGGTTTCACCATGTTGTTCAGGCTGGTCTCAGAGCTCCTGACCTCATGATCCGCCCACCTCGGCCTCCCAAAGTGCTGGGATTACAGGTGTGAGCCACCGTGCCCGGCCTAATTTTATTTTTTTAGTGATGGGCTCTCACTGTGTTGCCTGGGCTGATCACAAACTCCTGGCCTCAAGCAATTGCCTCACCTCAGCCTCCAGAGTTGTTGGCATGAGCCATCACACCTGGCAGAATATTGTTTTAAATGTCTTTGCTTATACAAGTGATATTACAGATCTTTGTTGCTATACAAAATGCATTGGATTTTTTATTGGAATTGTATCATCTCGATAATTTGAGGATTGTGGCCATCTTTACAATGTTTCATCTGCTTATCTAGAATATGAAATAGGGGTTTATATAGTTTTATTTAAGGTTTTATACATCATTTATTGATTCTATTGAAATACTTGTTTTTCATTGTAACTAGAAATTCTTTTAAAAATGTTTAAATAAACATATGTTTTGCTGGTATACAAGAATGTTTGTTGATATTTACTTAGTACGTGGCGACTTAATCCTTTTAGTTATAAGATTCATGACATAGAATCTTAGTTTTTAGAGGATTTACTGACTTAGATATTTTTAGAAAAGGCCAGCATATAATCATAGCATGAAAGAACTGACCAGAAATAGTTTTGTGACCTGTGTAGGCCACTTGGAGACTGACCCAGCCACACAGAGTGCACAGAGGGTCATGTCTAATTGTGGTCTCTGGTGCTCGTAATACTTTAATTCAAAAGAAATGTTTTGATGGCCTACACTGGAGTGTGTTAAGCCACCAGATTCCGGTGCTTTCGTGGGGGTGATATCAGGGCAAGGCTCATTTAAACACTTCAGTATTTGTCTCCAAAGCATGAGGATAATTGCCCAGGCATCCAAGATGACAAGTTTGCATTTAAAAAAGTAACAGGGATTCTGTAACAGTATCTGTTACTACAGTGCCTATCAGGACTTAGCCACCCTCCCAATAACAACAGGTCAGGATTCAGTTGGTTGGTAACGTATCTGTAATTACTTTTTGCTTTAGAACAGACCCCCTTTTCACCCTCAATATTGACTTTTTTGGAGAGTGCTAGAGCATTGTCTTATAAGAATCCCCACACTGTCTATGTGGTTGTTTCCTCTTGCTATCCTATAACTAGTTTCTCTATAATATATAGTTTCTGTAAACAGAAGTTAGGCCTAGGGCCTGAATATATTCAGGTTAGCATCTTTGCAGGAATATTCATAAGGTAGATGTACTTCATGGCACATCACATTAGGGGTCCGTATGTCAAGATATTTCATTTTATTGTAAGCATTTCTATGTATTTTTATAGTATGTATAGGAATGATTAAATATGAGCTAAATAGTAGCCAATTCTTTTGAATATTCTCATTTTGTCTCTGGGATAGTTGACTAAGATAACACGCACAGGTCCTTCAGCTTGGGAAACCAAAAAGATTCTTGCTGTTTCTTTTGCTCCTCTGATCCAGCCCTGCCATTCAGAGTCAGGAAAATCAAGACTTGTCCAGTTACGTAAGTATACCAATCTTTACTTATTTTATCTTTTAGATCTTTTCTCTCTGGTTAGATTTTAAAAGGAAACAAAATTTACAACAAACCTTTTGATATTAAAAAGCACCACTCCCATGCTGAAACTGTAAAATTCTACAAGCAATTTCAGGCATTATAAAAATTATAATCTATTTTTAACCTATTTCAGGTAATTTTAGCCGTCTTTTAAATCTACAAAGAGCTGTTGCCGGTCACACCATTGAAAGCCGAGGACGCACATAAAAGGGAGCTCATTTTGCCATGTGGGAGACTTAGCCTATTTGCCGCCTCCACTGGGAGGGGCTTACAGAAAGAGCCATCAGCCAGAGGGCTCCTACAGAGTCATGGGGCTTCTGCTCCCCAGGGCGCCAAGCGCCTGCTGCCTCATGGGTAGACAAGGTTAGAGAACACATTCCAGCTAATCTGCTGGGGTGTGGATAGGAGACTTTCCGTGGAACCTTACACAGCCGAGCCTTTGTGTTTCACTATTTCAGGATGCAAACTGAGCAAGGAACTGATACCAGGGCCAGCACGACAGCAAAACCTCCTAATGTTTTAAAATTTAAACGGCTCACACAGAAATGAGAGTTCCAATTGATTTTATTTAAAATAAAACTATCAGGATGCTCTCTGATCATTTAGAAAATTTGGAAAATGCAAAAAATAATAGGAAGGGAAAAGTTTTGCATAGTCTTACAAAAAAAAAAAAAAGTTTTGCAAAAAGTTTTACATTTTGGCAAATCTCTTCCAGAAAGGTTTTTTGATTTATTAGGAATCACCTATGAAATGATTACACTTTGCTTTGGTCTCTACTAAGTACAGGTTCTAAGAACTAGACACGGTTCTTGAAATTTGATAATGAGCAACAATAGGACATGCAAAACGGTTAATTAGGGAAGGTTTGGCAGAGGGTGATGTCTGTGCTTGGCCTTCAAGGGCAAAAAGGAGTTCCCTAAAGAGAGAAGAAAGGGGAGAAAAGTACCAGCAGTGGCAGGACATAAATCAAAATGCGTGTTCCCCGTGTAGTCAGAGTTGGGACTGATGGGAGAAACTACTGGTATGTAGGTTAGAATTGGGTTTATCATGTAGGCTGGGGAGAGCTATCAGATGCTTTAAATAAAAGATACAGTGCCTGTGTATCCTGGATAAGCCTGGTTGTCGTCGGGTGGAGGGTGAATCTGTCAAATGCGTGCTCTGAAAGTCTCATCAGAATAACCTTTTAAGTAACTGCCGCCCTTGGCGGGGAGGGCACCAGCTTCCAGAGCCTTAGCAGAGTTTGGGAAGGCAGGGGCATCTTCGGGGTATTTATGAGACTTTTTGAGGGTCTGGTTGAAACGAGCCGTTCCCTGTGGGGTTCGTCTGGCCGATGAAGAATCATGACAATGTGGTGGGCAGTTTGGATGCTTGTTTTGAGGAGATGGCTTTGAAGAGAGTGTTAGATGATCAACAGTAATGTGATGCTTTTAGAGTTTCTGAAGTGACCCATTGAGTTACTTGCAACTTTTCTTTTCCTGGGCCAGTTTCCTATACTAGTAAATTCATGTTGGTAAAGACAGTGGAGTAGAAAACTCTGTGAGTGTAGACATACGTGATATGGGGTCATGTGAGTGTAGATGCGTGGTGTGGGGTGTGTAAGTTTAGACCTGCACAATATGGGGTCAAAGTGAGTGTAGACGTGTGTGGTGTGGGGTCGTGAGAGTGCGGACATGCGCAATGTGGGGTCATGTGTGGACATTTGCAGTGTGGGGTAATGTGTGTGTGGGTGTGCGCGGTGTGGGGTCATGTGAATGTGGGCACGCGTGGTGTGGGGTCATGGGTGCTGGCGTGTGGGGGGTGTGGGCGTGCATCGTGTGGGGTCGTGTGAGTGCGGGCATGCATGGTGTGTGGTGTGAGTGTGGTCCTGCACGGTGTGGGGTCCCGTGAGTGAGGGCGTGCACGGTGTGGGGTCCTGTGAGTGCGGGTGTGCACGGTGTGGGGTCGTAAGTTCAGGCGTGCACGGTATGGGGTTGTGTGAGTGCATGGCGTGGGGTCTTGTGAGTGCGGGCGTGCACGGTGTGGGGTCTTGAGTTCAGGCGTGCACGGTATGGGGTCGTGTGAGTGCATGGTGTGGGGTCGTCAGTGCGGGCATGCACGTTGTGGGGTCGTGTGGGTGTGCACGGTGTGGGGTCGTGAGTGCGGGCGTGCGTGGTGCGGGGTCATGTGAGTGCACGGTGTGGGGTCGTGTGAGTGTGGGCACGTGTGATGTGGGGTCATGTGAGTGCGGATGTGCACAGTGTGGGATCGTGTGAGTGCACAGTGGGTTGTGTGGACGTGCACGGTGTGGCGTCGTGAGTTCAGGCATGCAGGGTGTGGGGTCGTGTGAATGCGGGCCTGCACGGTGTGGGGTGAGTGTGGGCACACGTGATGTGTCATGTGACTGCGGATGTGCACAGTGTGAGGTCGTGTGAATGCGGGCGTGCATGGTGTGCAGTCGTGAGTTCCGGCGTGCACGATGTGGGGTCTTGTGAGTGCGGGCGTGCATGGTGTGGGATCGTGTGAGTGAAGATATGTGTGGTGTGGGGTGGACGGGTTAGCTTTCAGATTGAATGGAAGCAGGAACAAGTGGAAAGCTGTTGAAATTTTCCAGGCGAGAGATAAAGATAAAAACTAAGACACTGGCTGCTACAGTGGAGAAGATTCAGTGATACATAAAATGGTACAGTCCTTCTGAGGAAGGGCACGTGAGGTGTTCGTTGTGATACGTACAATGGTACAGTCCTTCTGAGGAAGGGCACGTGAGGTGTTCGTTGTGATACGTACAATGGTACAGTCCTTCTGAGGAAGGGCACGTGAGGTGTTCGTTGTGATACGTACAATGGTACAGTCCTTCTGAGGAAGGGCATGTGAGGTGTTCGTTGTGATACGTACAATGGTACAGTCCTTCTGAGGAAGGGCACGTGAGGTGTTCGTTGTGATACGTACAATGGTACAGTCCTTCTGAGGAAGGGCATGTGAGGTGTTCGTTGTGATACGTACAATGGTACAGTCCTTCTGAGGAAGGGCATGTGAGGTGTTCGTTGTGATACGTACAATGGTACAGTCCTTCTGAGGAAGGGCATGTGAGGTGTTCGTTGTGATACGTACAATGGTACAGTCCTTCTGAGGAAGGGCATGTGAGGTGTTCGTTGTGATACGTACAATGGTACAGTCCTTCTGAGGAAGGGCATGTGAGGTGTTCGTTGTGATACGTACAATGGTACAGTCCTTCTGAGGAAGGGCATGTGAGGTGTTCGTTGTGAGACGTACAATGGTACAGTCCTTCTGAGGAAGGGCATGTGAGGTGTTCGTTGTGAGACGTACAATGGTACAGTCCTTCTGAGGAAGGGCATGTGAGGTGTTCGTTGTGAGACGTACAATGGTACAGTCCTTCTGAGGAAGGGCATGTGAGGTGTTCGTTGTGAGACGTACAATGGTACAGTCCTTCTGAGGAAGGGCATGTGAGGTGTTCGTTGTCTGTGGTAGACCTGGGTCTGTGGGAGGCTCAGGATTCTGGTCCGGACTGGAGTAGAACCTGGGGAGCTATTGGCTGGCCTCTGTTATTTAAAGCCACAGAATGGATGTAAAACCAAGGACTAGCAGTCATACTGAGACGGTGAAATGGTGGAAATTGGAACCTTAGGGAGCAGCACTGGGCTGGATGGAAGAGGAAGAGCCTGCAAGAGAAAAGAGCTGCGGAGGTCAGAGGGAGCGGCTGTGCCTTGGGCCAGGGGAGCAGTGAGCCACGTTCCTTATCCCAAGCAGACTCCTTGGAGATCTGGAGAGGCCGGAGCTGAGGGCCGGGACCCCGAGGGCCTCGGAAGGAGTTGTTTCAGCCTCTTGGGGCAACAGCCAGATCCCAGTGGCTCTGGAAGTAATCTGTCTAGATGTGAGATGATGAAGGAAGGAAGGATGGCTGTACTTGAGGAGGGAGCCGGGTCACAGATGGGGCAAGAGGCACGATCGTGGTGTTGAGTGAAGAGAAAGGACTGAAGACAAAGGAAGTGCCGGAGCCTGTCCTGGAGAAAGGAGAAGGGACCTCTTGTCTGTGGAGTCAGAAAAGCAGGAAAGGTTGAAGGGAGAAGGTGCTACTTACTCACTACCAGGGGCCTGGGACACAAGCCTGTTTGAGGGTTTCTGAAGAACAGTGGAGATGCTGAGATTCTGTGCAGGCCTTTCTGACTTTGGTAATAAACGTTGTGCACAACACAAGAGCTCTCCCTATAGTGCAGACTGTTATTATTTGGAGAAGTTGAGTACTGGAGGGGAAAAGTGATGCTGATTTTCAGTTTAATGTAATTTTCCCTTTGAGAAATGTTGCCTGCATGAAATCGTGAGCTTTAATTGTCAAATGTTCTTTCTCCTTGGTGTGCTTTGGAGTTTTTGTTTTTCCTGAAAAATGTTTGGATTTGCATTTCCCTACTTTAATAAAAATGGAGCAAATGTTCATTGTGTAAATAACTATGAAAATATTAACAGATAAAAGAATATTAGGCCGGGCACAGTGGCTCACGCCTCTAATCCCAGCGCTTTGGGAGGCTGAGGTGGGCGGATCACTTGATGTTAGGAGTTTGAGACCATCCTGGCCAACGTGGTTGAAACCCCGTCTCTACTAAAAATACAAAAATTAGCTGGGCGTGGTGGCGCATGCCTGTAATCCCAGCTACTGGGGAGGTTGAGGCGGGAGGATCACTTGAACCCAGGAGACGGAGGTTGCAGTAAGTCGAGATCACACCCTTGCACCCCAGCCTGGGTGACAGAGTAAGACTCTGTCTCCAAAAAAAGAATGTTGGAGACATATTCACTGTATTACTAGTAGGTGGGTATTAATATACACATGAACACAGCAAATAATAGAATAATGAAACTGGGCTGTGTCAGGAAGACAAATTGTGACCCAGGTGTTGATTCCACCACTGATTAATATAGCCAAGCAATATTGCTTCCTTTCCCTTTCAAAGTTAAGAATTGATGCATTTGGAAATATCTTTTGAAAAGTACCATATGATTGTAAATTAGAGCACTAATTGACATTTGCTTAGCATGCTCTCATATTCTTGTAACATATTCATAAATTTGCCAGTTAATTGAAATGATGCTACGGGTCTTAGGTGTGTAGGCGTTGTGGTGGTGTCACTCCGATGCATTTGACTGTGTCTCACTCTTCTGTGCTGCAGCACCAGTGGCAGTTCGCAGCCTCCAGGACTTGGCTCGCATCGCCATCCGGGGCACCATTAAAAAGATTATTCATCAGGAAACTGTGAGCAAAAACGGAAACGGACTAAAGAACACCCCCAGGTTTAAACGAAGGAGAGTTCGCCGCCGTCGAATGGAAACGATTGTCTTTTTGGACAAAGAAGTCTTTGCCAGTCGGATTTCCAACCCCTCAGATGACAACAGCTGTGAAGACTTGGAAGAGGAACGGAGGGAAGAAGAAGAGAAGACCCCGCCGGAAACAAAGCCAGACCCCCCAGTGAACTTCCTACGCCAGAAGGTCCTGAGCCTCCCTCTGCCAGATCCCCTGAAATACTACTTGCTTTATTACAGAGAAAAATAAGTCTCCTGTTTGAAAGGGGGAAATAGGAAGAGCAGATTGCTGAGTGTGAAGTTCGTGCTGCCTGTGTGCTGTTGAAGGGTCACCTGGAGGCAGACGTTGTGGGGAAGGGAACTGCTGGGCTCATCCACACCATGGTTTTCTTCTAGTTCCTGATTGACCTCTAAAATTCTATTCAGTTGTATGATTTGTTTACATAGTTCCACAAGACCTTCATTGCATAGAAGATTGTTTTCCCAAAGTGGAGAGAATCTTCATAGAGAAAAAGAGAAGGCTGTTTCTTTTTCGGCTCTGACGAAACACTGAAGTCTGCGTAAGAGAGACTGTTTGATGACCGTCCCTCATGCAACATGCACGGTACTCACTAAAAATGAAAACTGAAGTGGAAACTAACCTGTGTTGCTTATAAAGTGTGAAAGCACAAGCTTATAAATGTATAAAATCTTTTCTGGGTGTGACGCACCTGCGTCCAAGTTTGAATTTTTATGATATGTACCACTTAATTACTGGCACTGAGTATCACTGAATTTCTTAGTTTTCTAGTGGGGAAACATTATTGAGAAGCCCTCCCTTATTTTAAGTAAGTTGATTAAATCTTATGTGAGTTGCCAGTTGTAATTTTTCAAAGGAAAAATTTTGATGGGGTGGAGGAATGAATTGCCAGATAATCTTTCTGGAATTCCGAGAGAATTCCAAAGAGGGTTTTTTTTTTTTTTTTTAGGACATCTTTTGATACCTTTAAAAGAACCACTGTCAAGTAATCCTTAAAAGAATATCTTGGAAAAGGAAACAGATTTTTTCCTGTGTGTAAGCAATAAGTGAAGTTACATTTGCCCTAACCCTAGGGATGATTCTTTACCCAGTTTTAAAGCCCATCATGGTATTCTAAGGTGTTGACACCCTCCATCCTCAGAGCAGGTCGAAAATATTAAATAGACTGGGGACTCTATGATGGGCAGCCTGTGCTTTTTGACTTCAGTTTGCTATTTTTCTGTGATCACATTAGTACTGATTCATAGATTCTATCTTTTATAATTCTGGAGAAAAAGATTTGTTAGTTTTGTAATTTTTTTGTAAGACCAAATGTATGTATTTTAGTAGCTCCATTGCATGAGAAGAGTGTAACTCACACTGACTTGTGATATCAGCCTTCTCTGGGCCTTGTGTGTGGAGAGCTTTCTATCTTACCAAGTGGTAGGGCTAAAAGAACAACAGCCTTTTTGGTAGTCACATAGCAGAATGATC